>NC_000003.12:132190422-132341937 GCF_000001405.40 Homo sapiens
CTCATTTTCTTCGAAAATCATGAATGCAGTTATTACCAGGAATTTTTCCCCTTGTACTGTTTTGGTGCCTTGCAGATTACCAAAAGCCTACAGGATCACTTTCTCACTTGAATTCATTTAAATTCTATGGTATGTGCAGGGTAGCATGAGTTGGTAGTAGTGGTAAGGCATCATTTATTGAGTCTTCATTAAGAATCAGGCACTGTAAAAGTGATTAATTATAATGGTTAATAATTGTTGAGGGCTTATTACATGCCAGGCACTATTATAAGCCCTTCCTATGAATTAATTTAATCCAATAAGCTTTTGGTTCAGACCACAAAGCCAGACATAGCCACTGCTGTGTCCTGTTTATTGGGGTCAAGAGCCTCTTAAAGATGGGTAATTTTCCCGAGAAATGGCTGGATCTAGCCATGTGCTTCCACATCTCACTGTAGCCTCTGTGGCACCCATCCCTTGACCTGGTACTGCCAGACAGATCCTGGCTGGGAGCTGATGCAGGACCAGATGGCCCATGTTCTATAGAAATCAATGTTCTATAGCTAATCAATGGCTATTGATTAACTTATATGCAATAAGAGGCATGATGGAGTCGAGTCTAGCCCTCTATGTTTCTTCGGTGGCCAAAGCATTTCTTAATCCAGGGAGGTATTAAAAAGAGAACATCTTCAGCTGTACAGGGTCTAATCCTCTGAGGCACAGGCCAAGAGATAGGAATAGATCCACGGTCTTGGCATTCATCTCATCAGGATTCTCCAAAGGGGTAATTCACACATGGGATTCCAAAGCCAAACAGAAGTGGTAACTTAGCTAGCCAGGATGCAAGGGATGAGTTGTAAACCAGGGACTGAAGGTGTGGGGCTGGGAACCAAAAAAGCGGATTATATTAATCATGTTTTTTTATTTTCTCTATTTTTATGAGGCTTTGACATCGTGTGGATCTGGGAGGGACTGCCCCTCCCAGAGTTAGCTAATTCTTAAAGATATCAAACTTTCTGAGAGCATGCCCTCGATATGCAAACCAACCAGTTCTCCCCCTTTTAGGCTACCACAGTCTATACTATTTTAGTCTAGAATAGTCTAGTATACACTATACTACTTGCCTACCCTAGTTATCACAGGGCCAGTTATCAGCCAAGTAGGAGCAGTCCCTGTGTTCCAGAGCTTGCTAAAATTATTCAAACAGCTAATCCTAAAATGATCCTCATGACCCTGTCTCACCCATTCCTTCCCATGAAAACCACAATAAACACTGTCACCCATGCTTTCCCCTGACACACTCTGCCTCCTGATTCACCCTGGTACTTCTCCATGGGGTGTGGATAATGATCCCAAAAGACGCAATCCTGAACGCCATAATCTGAATGTTGAAATCCCAAAAGACCAAAATCCCTAAAGTCTAAATCCCTACAGTCTAAAATTCCTAATGTCTAATTGAATCTCAAAGCACAATGACCGATTTAGAATTATATACAGTCAAGGCTTCTGAAAGTGAATTCAAGCTGTTACCAATAATAATTGTTTTTTTCCATTCAGCCCAATGCATTTGACAGAAAATTCAAATGAGTGAATTGGCCATGTGATACGGCAAAGATGAAAACTTCAGTTTAAAAATGCATCATGTGTCTGCATTGGTATTCCTTCCAGCTGACGAAATTCCTTGAGCTTTTATGAGTTAAAGCCATATTTGCCTGAAGAAGCCTAATGAAGTTACAGACTGGTTCAAAAATAATTATATGCACAGAAGAATAAGAAGACATGCAACAGTGTTGCTGTTCCATCGCCAATATTGTTTCTCCCAAATTTTTGGTCTGTATATGAGTGCATGGGAAATGAATTTCCACATGTTCAAAGCAACATGGAAGATGGCACAGAAGATGAGAAATTTTAATAGAAAATGCTCATGTTGGGGTACAGCAAATCATAGAAGAATTTTAAAAAGAGCAGCACCAGAGTGAGCATATTCTCCAAGGTGGGTCGTGCCCTAAAAGAAAAAATGCAGCCATGCCTCACTGTGGAAGACTTCAAAATATAGTCAATGATGGTGAAAATCAGTCAGCTCTTAGGGACTATCTCCATGCAATTGCCCATAAACTATTTCCATATACTTTTCCATATGTCAAATTTTCTTTTTCATTTCTTGGGGGGTTTTCTGGGGTTATTTTTTCCTTTTTTAGTTTTTTTCCACTATTTTAAATTGTCAGCATTATGTTTTACAATTTGCTATGCTACATATCTCATATTTGCATCATTTTCAATATTGGAGATATAAATTGCTTAGAGACTTTTAGAGAGTTCCAATTCATTTTATGTATTTTTTGCAGAGTTGACTCTATGTAAAGTGTATTATCAAAATGTTGACGTTGTGTGTAAGCATTGTGCATGTATATAACAACATTGAAACTTCCTCAGTAAATTAAGAGATGTCCATTTTGTACATCTGCATTTGTGAAAGATAAACTCTCTCAAGATCTCGATTATTTGAGAGACTGCATATGCAGTGGTGACCCATGGCAGGTTTTGACCAAATATCAAAAGACTTAGGTTATTTGTCACGGTGTTTCAGATGACAGATGTTATAAAGCTGGTCACACAATTACCAACCACAGTAATATACATTTGTACATTTCCATTTTATATATATATATTTTTATTATACTTTAAGTTCTAGGATACGTGTGCACAACGTGCAGGTTTGTTACATATGTATACATGTGCCATGTTGGTGTGCTGCACCCATTTACTCGTCATTCACATTAGGTATATCTCCTAATGCTATCCCTCTCCCTCCCCCCACCCTACTACTATACTTTCAGGGATCATTTCTATAGTTTGTTACATTTCCATTTTTGACCTATTTCTTTATAAATATAGTTTGTCTGCTTGTAATTGTTATACCTGCATGACTCTTTACCATACCTGTTTTATGCTTGCAAAAATATGTTATTGTGTATTTTGCTGTGTAAAGTGGCCTATGAAGTGTTCTGTCACGTTTTTATATATTTCTCAAATAAATCTTTTCAAAACAAATAAATATCTTTTAAACAATGTCCTTTAGTGGCCAAGTGTGGTGACTCACACTTGTAATCTCAGCACGTTGAGAGGCTGAGGAGGAAGGATCAGTTGAGACCAAGAGTTTGAGACCAGCCTGGGCAACATAGCAAGACCTTGTCTCTACAAAAAATTAATATAAAGAAAAAAGAAAAACAGTAGTGTTGTTTGTTATTTTTCCAGAATTGTATTTTCAGGATCTTTCAGGATTATGATCAGCTCCCAGTTTGGAGAACTCAGTTGAGAAACCCTGCTCTCCACACATGGAACTTCACAAAGAATTGGCATTCAGCAAACACTTACTGACTTGGCAAAGGGAAGTGTCTCTAATGCTCCAGTACAAAGGTTTCTTAGTTTGCATTCCCTCCGAAGCAAACCCTGAACCTGCTGCAAGTGGAACTGAATGCAAGTAGTTATTCGTGAGATAAAGAAAATACCAATAGGAGAGAAGTGGAGTGAGAGAGAAAACGAAGACAGCATTTTAAGGGTACATTAACAACCCAGCTACCACGGTAGGTAACTGGGGCTCAGTCTCACCGAAAAAACTTTGGAGGCCATGTGCCTCAAAGTTAACCTCCCAGAGGGGTGAGGGAGCTGGAGTACATACCGACCAGCTCCCATCATTCATTGGCAAGGACTTCTCTCAGGGGATGTCAACTCTCTAGCACTTCTATCTTGCCCAGTGCAGGGCAAAGCAGACTCTAGTGACTAGATAAGGCCCTCAGGCAAAGAAATGCAAGTGCTATCAGTTGGATGGGTGTCCAGTGGGATATGGGTGTGGTATGTGGAACATCTACTACAGAAAAGATCATTGGCAGTTTCTGAAAATTCCAACAAAGATCTCCTAGACCTCATTCTCCAAAACCAAGAAAGGAGAAATGTCCATTGATTCCTTTATTAAATATACACATACTGCCTGTTTTGGGATGTAAACATGTGCCAACTGTACAATCTAGTAGAGACAAAAAAAAAAAAACAGAGACAAGATAATAAAATGGAAGAACTGTGGGGAGGGTAATGTAGCTGTTCACAGGGTTAAAATGCATGATTACTTTGATACAGCCTCATGTCCAGAGAGGCTTGCTCTATACTTTTCATGTCATTTTAAGGGGAAATCATAATAAGGTCTGACTTCATGATCAAATCCCAGCATTCAGACAATGTTACATCAACATCCTTTAATGGGTAAGTTTGCCTGTCTATTTCGTGCTGCCATAACTCTACTTTTGTCCGTGGAACAATGACAATGACCACATATCACAAAGAGAAGCACTTGGTTGTATCAAACACAGAAGAATTCTAGGGATGAAATGGAGTACCTCAAGGCATGCCCCAAACAGGATTTACCTGGCTGACTCCTCCCTCTTCTACATTGGAGGAGGAAGCACATGGAATTCCAAAATCATATTGACTTGGCTAAAGACCCCATTCATCCTTTTTCTAGCAGCAGGACTGAATCATACAAAGTCCTTGAGCTTCAGAATTCTCAAGTGTAAAGTGGGAATAAAAATACCTTCTTTACAGGCTTATTGTGAGTATGAAATGAGACATGGGTATAAACAAGCTTCACTAAGTGTAAAATGCTACATGAGTGTTAGTAGTTGTCTTATGCTTCATGGACCATGACGACCTTGGTCACTAGTCCAATAAGAATAAAATGATCATTCACAAAGGATAAGAAGAAAGGGGTTTCCTTTCAACTCTACTTCTAGGGAAGGGAAAACAAACCTGTCCTGAGCTTCCAATATTTTTATTATACTTGAAAAAGCAAAAGGTATACTTGAAAGCACACCCCTCCCATTTCAGAGTGAATCATGTTGCTAATCACCAATACTAAAATCAAGCTCAAAAGGAGGAATGCTCAGTTTATTTTTTCAGCATTTGAAAGATGAAGCACTTAATTACACATTCTGTAATTAGTTTGTAATTCCCACAAAAGGTGTAAGAGGAATGTTAATGGTGGCCGCATGCCCTGTGAAGAGGGAGCAACATATCTGGCATTCAAGCACCATCCCATAAAAGGGGTTCACTAAGTACACTGGGGCCATCACCAGCTTTGTTCAACTACAAAGAAATCCTAAAGGCAGCTCCCATCAGCACAGTGACAATGAAGGAGAAAGGCAAAATTCTTTATATATGAAGGTCTGCCAAGGCCATCACCTAGAGAGTTAACTACTTAATTACTTCAGTTTTGTGGGACTGTTGGTCATCTCCTCAGAAAGAGATCAGGGAGTAGAGTTGAGATGACATTTTGTGTTGGATGTTCCCAGAAGTCATAGGGCTTGATTGCCTCTTTTGTATTGTTCATTTCTGCTACTGTTATACATTCCTCCCAGAACTGGTTCCCTTGGGTAGCAAGCAATTACCAAAAGCATTTCAAATGCAAAGGACTACAGAGTATGTTCAAGGTAATCAGGACCAAGAAGCCTGCTCTCCAGGCCTAAGACCAAGCAATGGGGATGTAATCACTGAGCTGCCACCAATTCACTCAGCAGGTGCCTGGACAGATATGCCCCTTGAGAAGAGGAGTTGATTTTCTGTGCAAACTATAAAGTGTGACTTACATTCCAATTTGATGGGCTCTGCCGGCTCATAGAAGCAGAGGGCAATTGGGTAGACTGTTTGCAAAAGTGGCCCCAATTATTCACTTCCCTGCCTCCAGACCTGCTTGTAATGTGATTTTGAAATTTTTCCCATCAAAAGTCTATTTTCTAATCCCTTGAGTCTGACCTGGCCTCATGACTTATTTTGGCCAAGAGAATGTGGCAGAAATGACATTGTGCCAGTTCCAAGCCTACGCCTGAAGAGACCTTGCATTCCTTTTCTTGGAACCCTGTCCAGCCACTATATCAACATGAACAAGCCCAGGCTAGCCTGCTGGCTAATGAGAGACACATGGCCCAGTCACCCCTATAGCCTCAACCAGCAGCCAGACTAGCTCCAGAAGTAGAGCTTCCTACCTGACCCACAGCTGACCACAGATCCAACATGAGCCCAGTGCTACCCAACTAACCCATACAATTGTGAGTTAAACCAATGGTGGTAGTTTTCAACCTCTAAATTTCAGTGTGGCTTATCGTGTAGAAAAAGCTCCATAGAGAGACATATCCCATAGCCTATTCTGGTGGCAAATGTCAGGCACAATGATGCCAGAGAAACAAAGTGTTTGGCTTCTCAGGGACAAGATTCCACACCAGAACTGTCTGTGCAGCCCCACCCCCTATAACAAGGCTTGGTCTGCCCACTTGGGCAACTGCAAACACCAGCCTCTGGGTGTTGCTCTGCATCTCTGCAAATAACCTCAACTCCAGCTTTAACCCACCATTCCTTGTGCTCAATTTCTATTTGTTTGGCCTAGTTTTGCCCCCTACCTTGGTTCCCACCATCTACCTGCCCACATTTATCTTGAACATCTGTCTGAACTCAGCACAATTCTCCCACTCCTTCCTCAGCTCCTCTTCATGCTCCTGCTTTCTGACTTCTGTCCATACCACTGGATAAGAACTGCTCACCCTAAGGTCACTAATGGCCTCCTAAGTCCAATGTTCAATGGCCCCATCTCCATTTCCTCTTATTCAACATCACTACAGTATTTGACACTGTCCTCTGTGACCTGCTTTTAAGAGAGTGTACTTATGAAAGTTTTCCAGGAACCTCATTTGAAAGAATCCTTTCATTCTAGTAAGTCTAAAGGCTTGAACATGATCATAGTGAGGGACTTGCATAGTCAGAAGCATTTTCAAATGACAGAAGTATTTCCAATGTTAATGAGAAAGATGGCTGCAACATTTAAAAAGTGGGATAGATATACTGAGTATGATTCTTCATGTTCTTAGCTTGTTGCAAGCCAAGTCTATTTTTAAGGGCCTTATTTTATCTAAAAAGATAGAAGGTGAACTCATTGGACAGGAGTCAAGAATTCAGAACTAGTCCCAGTTCTGTCATTTATCAGCAGTCCATCTTTGTAAGCCACTTAACATCTCTGAACCACAATCTATCATCTGTGAAGTAGAAACAATTGCCAGACTGTAACCTACTTGAGGGTAGGGATTCTTTGTATACTTTTTTTTTTTTTTTTTGAGACAGAGTTTCGTTCTTGTTGCCTAGGCTGGAGTCCAATGGTGCAATCTCTGCTCACTGCAACCTCTGCCTCCCAGGTTCAAGTGACTCTTCTGCCTCAACTTCCCGAGTAGCTGGGATTATAGGCACCCGCCACCACACCCAGCTAATTTTTGTATTTTTAGTAGAGACGGGGTTTCGCCATGTTGGCCAGGCTGGTCTCGAACTCCTGGCCTCAAGTGATCCACCTGCCTCAGCCTCCCAAAGTGCTGGGATTACAAGTGTGAGCCACCGCAACCGTCCCTGTATACTTTTTACCCACACAGCATAGCCACATTGCCTACAACACAGTGGGTGTTCAATAAATGCCTAAATGTTTGTTGGCTGAATTTAAAATAATTAAAGACCTGCAGTTTATATGCATAAAATCATAAACTCTAATGGGATCACTACCACATTGCCAAATCCACCAGAATATAAGTCCCCCATGATGATTTTATCTTTCCACAGAATTCTTCTTGAAGGCCATTTAAACACATTTTCCTCTGAATGAGGTTGGCAGCAATGGAACAGAAGATAAGCTAAATCACCGGTCCTCAAACTTTTGTGTCTCAGAATTCCCAGAAAAACTTGTTTGAACAAAGCCCAGATTTTTGGGTCCCACTCTCAGAATCCAATTTGGAAGGATTGAATTGAAGCCCAGGAGTCTTTTGTAAAAAGTCAGTCTCTCCAGGTGATTCTGGTGTAGTTGATTTTTCTCATGATTTGGGAAATACTGCCTTTACCCTTCAAGATGCTTACATGGTGTCCTGAACCTTCCTTCCCACTTCCCCTACTGAAGGCTCATGGATGATCATTCATACTGAGTGTCTCGCATTTTTAACTGTCTCAGCCCAGATCCAAGACTTCAAATGCAATTGATTGTACTGCTACACAGAGGAAAATGGCCGCTGGCCTTGGGAAGTGGCGGGGTTCTGCCCCAGAATACTAAGAGTTTATGGAGGAGTTTATGGAGAGTTTAATGGAGGAGATTTAGTGAGACAGGCTCAGTCCCCTATGAATTTATGAGTCAGAACATCTTTTTCTGTCTTGAAAGTGATTTACAAAGGAGAACAGTGTCTTTGAAATGTTATCCTCCATAACAAAGAGATGAGCATGCATCTATTTAAGTTAAGACTGTTGTTATAGAAACTACCTATTTTAAGTGCATAATAAAGAAACACCACATACTCCACTGAAATGAACAAGCTCTTACTAGTACTTGGGAAGTCTTGCTTGTTTTAAATGCCCATCTTGGCTGACTGGGCATTCAGATGTGTTTGTCTCTCACCATGGAGACTGAGCAATGGCTCCTCTCCTTGCTTCTAACATGAACCTTAGGGTTCCAGGATATCCCAAACCTTTTATTTCACAGGCCCTGTTTAAACACAAGAGACACTAAGTTAAGCAACTCTTTTCTAGTAGCAAATGAGTTTTAAAGTATGAATGTATAAGTCTCTTATATATCACATTATTCTGGTGAAAATAATTATGGACTTCCTTCTTTGCCCATCATGTAAAGGAAAGAAAACCCTTAGCCAAGCTTGCAAGTCTTCTCAGTGGAATCCTCAAGAGGTTACCTCCTTATGCCTAAATGGCTTGAGGCAGATTTTCTGCTGTGACCTACTGCCAGAGCAGAAATGTTCCCTTTACTGCACACTTTCCCCTGTCCCTTCCCTCGTTCTACTGGCCCAGTATTTGGAAAGTGACATCAAAATCCCTGTTGGAAAAGACACTTTGGATTGGGCTGCTTTCTAGATCAGGTGTCTATGGCAAACCTTTTGTTAAAGTGCCAGATAGTAAATACTTTAGGCACACCCATTCAACTCTGCCATTATTGTAAGAAAACAGCCATAATGAACATGGTTATGTCCCATAAAACCATATTTGCTAAAATACATGAAAGGCTGCATGTGGCCTTTGGGCCATAGCCTGCCAAACTCTGCCACAGTAGGTACTATTGTGTTGCTACCCAGAGTCTCTCTTCCAGGACTAAAATAGTCATAGCTTTAGATGCTGGAAATAGTGGAGGGTGAAGGCTCTTAGCTGAGTACCTCTTAGCTGAAGAGAGCAACCTTGACTAAAGTAAACTCTGTCTTCTCAAGGGCTGTTCACATCCAGTGATTGGTTATGGGGGACTATAGGAGCCCAGTGCATTGGCCCAATCCAGCACAACTCTGAAAGGCCATCCCAGACCCAGAGCTCCCTCTAGGCTGACTGAGGCTTTTTTTTTTTTTTCTGCATTTCAGTTCAACTTTCCTTTCTTCCCAGTCGTTCTTCCTTCATTCCCACCCAGGGGTTGATCTGGAGAGCACTGGCTGTAAACTCTCTGCATTCAAATCTCAGAGTCTGCTTCCCAGAGAACCCAATCTTAGATAAGCACTACCCCTCTTCTTCCAATCAAGCTCCTCTTTAACCATGGCCCACTCTGATGGGCTTGCTTACCTCCTAGCTGACCCCATCACTCTGTACGGGCCACTGTGCAGAGGGCTGGCCAGCAGAATTTCTAGGTATTGTTCCTTCTGGAACACATTTTTATCATTTTGCTCAGGCCACGGCCACTGCTACTAGCATGGGTGCTGCTACTATTGCCCACTCTGGAGAGCTGCTCACAGGTAAGTTTCAAACAGTACCCTGTATAACATGCAGACTCCAGGGCCTCACACCTACATAATGTGTTATGGTAGATCTACAATGGAGCCTAGGAATCTATATATTTAACATGCATTAGCAAGCACCAGAGGTGATTCTAAAATTGGTGGTTTCTGAACCATTCATTTAGAAAGTTTGTACTATGCTAGCACATAGTAGCTACTCCATAAATGCCGAATCAAGAGATATTTCTAAGTACCTATCTTGCTAAGGTAGTTATAATCCAAAACACACACACACACACACACACACACACACATATATATGGCAAATAAGTTAAGACCAGTTAAATCAGTATGTGAATAATCTGAATTACACAGAGAACTTCAGAACTAAATCTTCCTTGAGGATAAGAGTCATTAATAATACCTAACTGAGATGAGAACAGGATTAGACCAGTTAAACTTGGGAAGAGGTTACCAGCTCACATAGGAACACTGGACTGACATATAAGGTAAAGGCGTGACAAAGCTGGATGCCAGATAGCAGGAATGAGAGGGGCTGCAGCATACCCTCTCCAAAGGGGGCAACTGAAACTTTTATCCATCAATTGTGACATGTGAAAATGGGGAAACAGTATTGCCAGGTCATCGAACTTTCAAGACTAGACTAAAACTGGATACTCACAATATAAAATCCATAGGTTTTTAAACATTGGCTCATATTTACTGTTTCTTGAGTCTATAAACTCAGTTAGGCCCTCAGGTATTCTGTAGTAGCTAAATGTATTCTGAGGGCAGCAATTAGGGCAATTGCTCTATTTCCGAAAAAGAAATATTCCAGAATTCCCAAGGAGTGTGGTCAGAGGAGTCCTGGGGGCCACCTTTGCAGGAAAACACCATAAACATTCTGTAATGAGGCAGAAGGGAACATAAGCAGAAGTTTATAAGGAGAACCACAGTTCAAATCATATATAAACATTCCTGGAAAGAGAGTGCAGCAAGGGTCAGAAGGGAAATATGGCTGAAGATCAGACTCTGCATCAACCCTGGGGATGACCAGGGGCTCGGTTCAAAGCAGAGAAGGTGACTGCCTGAACAGAGGCCATCTCCAGGAGATGCAGAATAGGGGCTCAGCTTCACAGGTCACAGAGCTTAGGCTGATTAGAAGTCACTGTGGGAGTTGGGTTCAAAATCAACTTACCCTGCCAGTGGGTAGGATGTATTTTTGAGGTAGCAGAGGTCAGGGTATTACAGGCCCATCATATAGCCATAGGAGATATTATATTTTCAATCTCAGATAAATAAGCCAAAGGCCTGTTACAATCACTCTTATTTTTGTTTGCTTTAGTTGGCAAGCCAGCAGTGATTGTATTCTAGAAGATAAATGTATATGAGAACTGACATCAAAACTGGCATATCTAAAGGTTAATAATTTTAAAAAATTAAACAACTTTCTTAAAAATATCTCACCTCCAATGATGGATATAGTTCTTAATTTAAAGTTAGGAAAGGAAGGAGACCCAGATGTTAGATGTACTTCTACCACCACCAGACTATGTGACAGGTGCCTACCCTGGCTTACTCCTTCTGTAAAATAAGAAGTCGAAGGGGATCAACCCTCAGGTTCCTTTCAGCTTGAACAGTGGTCATCTGTATCTGAATATTTAGGCCTTGTTTGCTTGCAAGTAACAGAAAACATAACCCAACATGGTTTAAGCAAGAAGGGAATTTATTATCTTATATAATTTAAAATTCTGTGTCAGGGGGGCAATCAGATATGGATTAATCAGGGCTTCAAGGATGTTCCCAGAAACCTTTATTTACTGGCTCTGTCTTCTAAGTATTAACCCCAGTCTTAGCATTCACATGAGAGCAACACACTGCAACAATGCAAAGATCTATATTCTCTTCAATTCAAGCCCAGTAGAAAGACTGCTTCTTTCCATCCCATGTCTCAGTGACAGTCCAAACATATATCATTGGCTTAGCAATGAACCTATGACCCAATCAAAGTTCATCTTTGTAGCTAGAAGGCATGCGATGAGTTGACTGGCTTAGGTAACATGTTTCTCTCTGAAGACGGAGAGTAAAATTTTACCAATAAAATTCCCAAAGAACTGGTACTAAAAGTGAGATAGACACTGAATGCCCAAAAGAAAGGCAAATAAAATCTGACCTTGTGACCTTATTAGATATAATATGTTATATACATAAATAAACTGCTTTTCCAAACATATCCCTTCTGATAAGCTCATTAGGTCATTTAAGGTATTACTGTCATAAAGATGTCATAGAAGCAGCAATTACAGTAATCTACCTCATGTTGGTGTTTGGATCATTGACAAAGTCCTTCACGTATTGAACAGACTCTACTTTGTTGTTTTTATCAGAAAACCTGCCTGTTTTACATACTGAAATCAAGAACTAATCCAAAGAAAATGTACCCCTGCTACTACTTTGGACTCTTTTAGAAGAAAGTTACTCACATTCTCCTAATTGAGACTATTTCCTGTGGTTTTTCACCCTGGAAATGGCTTCATAGACCTCAAGAAAACCAGCTAATAAGCATGAACCTGATCCTACTCATTAGACATTGAAATGAGGAGATTTAAGGACACATAACCTCTGGGGAGAAAATCAGACAGAAAATTATCTAATTATATTTCATAGTTAAGAGTCAATAGGGTAAAATTTAAGATAGAGATTTTTTTAATTAGTACCAGAATTCTCTGCTTGCATTCTTCATATTCCCGTAGTCGCTGGAGAAACTGCTCACTGTGGAACTAAGCCGGAGGTTCCTAGGACCTCTTTGCCTTTGCACATCTGAAAATGAGGCCATTGGAAAGGCAGAAAAGTGCAGCCATATGCTGGCATCAGTCAGATCTTTCCCCTTGATTCTGGTTGTTTCTTTAGAAAAGTTTTGGGGTTACATGATGAGTGATCTAGCAAAGCTGGCAATTAAGTGGATCGTCAACAGCAGGCAAGACTTCTTGTGCAACTCTATTTCAGCTTGCTTTAACACACTATCTGCAGTTATACTATAAGAAGTAGTGATGGCACAAAACTTAGAAGATTCACAAAAAGGAAGAAATCTAGGCCGTATTTTGAGGTAGTGTCATTAAAATTTCAAATGCACAGAAATGCAGGAATGCTATTGTACAGATGATATGGGTTTCATTAGTGTAGAGTTGAATTCATAGTTCTACTAAGCCAGTAGGCCCTATCACAAAGCCAAATATGCTGACTATCCTTCTAAAGCACAAGCAATACACCAGTGTCTTATGTCTCAGTCATGGTTATCTTACTAATTTAACTGCCTTTTTTTGCAGTTAACCAAGTTGTAATATTTAATTCACTGCAATTTATTTTGCTATTGCTTTCCAACATCCTCTCTTTTGTAGAAAATTTAAAAGTAAATACAGAGCATTTGCAAAATAGGGGAAACTATTATGGGACATGCTCATCTCACAAGAACATCACAAGTTAATTTTTGTCCTATCTGAAAAAGAAAAAGATAGAGAAAAAATGACATAAACCCAGGATCTGCAAATCCAACACTTTGTGCCACAGGTTCATGAGGAAGATATGCATAGGGGAAATCTCAGAAAAATGCATTTTCTTTACAATGCACTTTGGTGGGCTTAAAGCAGAAGTATGCTAGCTGCAAGAACTTATCATCCAAAGAAGCAAACTATGGTCCATGGGCCAAATCCTGTCCTCTGTCTATTTTTATAAATAAAGTTTTAGTGGAACCAACACTCATTCATTTAAGTATTATCCATGGCTGGCTTCATGCTACAACAACAGAGATAAGGAGTTGTAATAGAGATTTTATGACCTACAAAGCCTAAAATATTTACTATTCTGGCCCTGGAAAAACAGAAAAAGTTCTTCCAACCTATGTCCCAAAGGCTAGAAGCAAGTGGCTTTTATGGTCTCCTTATCTTAGTTAGCATCTGGGTTTTATCACACCAATGAGAAGAGTAAGAAGGAAAGAGAAACCCAAGAACACGTGTGCCCAGGAGGAAAATTTAACATTTCCCCTTGAGACCTCTGGCAGAGCAGGACAAGGTTGCCCACCCTAGGCCTTCCAAAGGCAGAAGACTCCTTTCAGTGAGGCGACAGCTCCATTACAGCCCTCATAAAGGAAAGTGATGCACTTGATAAACTTAGAAAACACATCCCAGTGACTAGCAGGCATGGTAATTCATAGATTACTTTATTGTCACACCTCATAGTCCCATTCTTACATGCCTCACATCTAGGTACATTCTTTGCCTCAGAGAGATTATGTGCGTCTTCCACTTAATACTGTTCATTGAAGCCATGTCTTAAAGAATGAATATAATTTGATATAGATATAATTTGATATAGCTATATTAACAGCTTTGTGCATGAAGATAAAATGTGGAGTAATCTCAAAATTTTCACCTTTCCCCTCTTCACACCCCAAACTATTCTTCCTAACCTGTGACCCAATAGCTCTCTGCCTTGAAAGCCATTATGTTAGCAATCCTTCTCAGAATGAACCTCTGTGCGTCTGCTGCATTGGGAGGATGGTGGGGGAAGAGAGGGTCATTTACTCTTCCCATAGGGGCTAACTCTAGTTATATCTCTACCTGCGTTGGTAGGATGTGTTGTTCTGAAAAATAAGGGTCCAGCGGGAAACGCCTTTCCCTCTATGATCATCTTAATGATTTGCCATGTACTTAGCACATTAAAGTCTTTAAGAAATAATATAATAGAGAAGTTTGTTTAACTTTGTTTAACCCAGTATAAAACTTCATGGCCTACAGCAAACATTTGTTCTAACACTTACAAATCTGCTGGTTACTATAATTTGGCTGATCTAGGCTGGGCTCTGCTGGGCACCTCTGCTTCAGGCTGAAAGTTGGCTGGGCTTGACTTTGAGCTATCAGTTGGATTCAGGTCAGCTTCTGGGGCCCAGCCAGCCTAAAGTGGCAGCAACTACACAGAGGAAATTCCTGCACAAGCGTATGTCAAGCCTCTGTTCATGTCAGATCTGCTAACATCCCATTGACCAAGGCAAGACATATAGCCAAACCCAAGTCCAGGGACAAGCGAACATATCCCACGTACCACAAGCCCATGGCATGAGCTTGGGTATGTGATTCAACCACTCTCTGACAACTCATTGGCTTTCTGGCATTTCTTTTATCCCATCTTAACCCCACCAATATTCCAACTAACATCTCCAGCAGTTCCCAACTTTTTTGGACCACAGGACTTTCTTCTGACTAATATTTACCAAAACTAGTTCCGTGGAATATATTTAATGTTCGTCTATACACAACTGGCTGTACGCATTCCTGTGGAATGAGGCTCAATTTTCAAACACAAGATTCTTTACAGTGTAAGAGAAAAAGGGGGAAAAAATCTCTCAGACACCATACTTTCTAAACATTTATGTTCTTCATCTATAGAATACTAATGGAAAGAACCTGAAATTGCAAGACTGGCCTCACACTGAATTTGAAAATTTTTCCAAGACTATGCCAGGGAGTGACATAGAAATTCTTTGCAAATGACATATCCTCATTTTGGGTTTGCAAAGCCATGTCTTTGTCCCTTACAGCTGTCAGGTGATCATTACTGACTCATTAAGATATATTTACTTCAGTAATTGTCCAACTTTCCTCCCAAACAGCAGGAATTTCAGGAATCCAGCCTGGGAGCCTGAGCTGGGTTATGGGTGGAAGATGTTGGCTTATTTATCACCTGTTTGGTTCTCAATTTCAAAGAGATCTAAGAGGTAGCATCTGGGGTGAAACCAAATGAAAAGGCAAGCAATCAGTGATGTCAGCTGAATAGGTTGATGAAATTGGCAAAAAACAAGAACCAGATACAAATACATCTAAGGCACAGCAGCTGGGTCCAGGACTGGGGAGGCAAGGGTGGTTGCATTGCCTCAAGAGAGTTCGGTAGATCCTATAGCCCCTCGACTTTACTGAGGAGTGAAAAGAATCTTGGGTCAGTCTGGACTAGTTATGAGTTACCAGGTGGAATTTCAGGACACCATAAGTTAGACTTAGCAATCATTTTATAGTTAATATAAGAGTTTTTAGAATATTCTAAAACATGTTTCAGAAAACACAAGTTATGTGGTATGCTAATGGATATTACATGAAACAGGATTCCATGGTCAAATGAGTTTTGGAAACTGTTAAATAAGGTTAGAAGGATTCTTCGCAGGACTTTGGAGCATCTTTATAATGATAATGTTTACTGCAAGTCTTCAAGAGGAATATATAATTTACAGCATTTTCCAAACTAATTTGATTATGAAATCTCCCTTTTTAGAGCATTTTGGTGAAATACACTTTAAGATGCATGAATATAATGACACAAATCAATTTGCTTTCTGCTAACAAACTGCACAGTATCAGCATAACCTTATATAACTTTTATATAACTCTTTTATAGCTTATATACATAAGTTATCAAAGAAAAACTTAAGTATAACAAATTATATTGTGACCAACTTAACCATTTTATTCATCTCTCATTATTTTCTTCTCTTTTTTCAAAATAAGAATATTTTAATATAAAATAATTTTCTCTTTTGCATTTCCACATACTGAACTTCCTGTAGTCTGCCAGAAACATCTATTTCCCTTGAGAAGGCTAATGATTATTATCGCAATTATGCAAGAAGAAAAACAGTTAATATTCAGCTTCAAAATTCCAAAATAGGATTTTGTAGCAACTTAATGGTTTATAAAAGCAAGCTTTTTCAAGAGAAAAAAGATTTCCTAAGTCTTTTTAACCCTCATTAACTTACTGAGGCCTAAGCCTAAGTAAGCTAGATCATGCAGTTTCTTCTACACCTGTGCTTCTAAACATTTAATATACATATAGGTCACCTGGGGATTTTGTTTAAAAACGCAAATTCTGATCCATCTCAGGCCAGGTGGAGCCTGAGATTCTGCATTTCTAATAAGCTTCCAGGTGCTACCACTGCTGTTGACCCATGGACCACATGTTGAGCCAGGATACACCTTAGGGAAGCTACTCCTTGTATATTTAGCTCACCATGAGGCTTGCTGCCCTAGGCAGAAAGAATATAAAATGTAGAGAAGATAGAAAGCCCAAAGTTGTTCACTTTCAACCTGAGGGATGGTATAATTAACAAAGGAGGTAGAGGAAGGCAAGATCTATCTCAGTCTCACCTCTGTGGCTTAGAGTCCCAGAGATTAGAGTTATAGTAAAAGGGAGTTAAGGGAATTTCCAAAAAGGAAAAGACTTCTGTTCAGCTTGTGGTTGCAAACAAGAAAAATACTCCTCAATCTGCCCTTGCACCAGGGTGAGCACTTGGCCTCAAATCAAATTTGATGAGAAACAATTAGGCAGAGAAAAGGCCTCAGTTAACTCTCCAAAGCTGCCTTCTGGTCCCATGAGCGGGACTAGAAGCTTCCCAAAGCTCTTGAAAATCAGTCTGGAAAGTTTCGCAGAAGTGATCACAATGGAGGAGTCCCAGCCAGACTTCATGGTTACCCATAGCATAGCAAGAACCAAGGTGGGGGCTAAGTTAACAGGGAAACCTCGTGCAATAAGAGCGGCCAGATCATGGGAGCAGAGAAGCAGAAAACATCAACGGCAGACATCAGTGGAACACCCCTCTGATAGAACTTGTTGTCCTTGGAGTTCTCCAAGCTGAGGAGCAACCCAGCTCAGCCCTTCTGCCAGAGAGATCACAGTGATTCCAGAAAACAATCCGCAGTTCAAGAATGTCACCCCACCACCAACAACAACCAGCCAAGGTCACATAAGCCACACCCTCTAATGCACCCACCACCACTTTGCAGAGGCACAATGGGTGAGGAAAAGAAGAGAGTGGATAATCTATTCAAAAGAAAATAAGCATAAACCTATAAGGACTGTTTAAACTATTGGCCGGGACTCACTAAAGCTGTGTTCACCTGTGATTTGATTTGTTAATTACTTTTAATAACTCTCTGCCATTTGGAGGCCATCAAGTGGTTCATTTCTTTTCATCTAAGTTATCCTTCTTGTTTCATGTAGCTTCAAAAAACTGACCTTACCCTTTTTTTTAAAATCTTCTTCAAATAATTTTCTATGGATGTCCTGAGACATTGAGGAATGTCTTAGAAGGAAATACCTTCTTGAAAGAATGCATATCCCAGTATTGGGCATTAAATGATTAAATAACCATCTCTGAGCTTCCTCTAAACAAGTTGTCAGGAAGAAATATAGAGGTGTTGTCCAAGAACCATCCTGGCATCCTTGTTACTGCCCAATAAGGAATGTGCCTTCATGTTAGATCTCAAATGGGAAGTGATTGAACCCACCAAAGGGATTCACCAAAAGCCTTTAAAACATCCTTCCCAAACCAACAGCAGAAAGAGACACACAAATTACTGCAAGACATCTATGACTATATACATACATACAACACAGTATCCTGAATCCTGAAGTTATAGCAATGCTCCTTAGCTAAAAGCACCTCAAGAAGAGAAGAGGATTTTTCAGAATCTCTGTGATGTGCCCCTTGGGGATGGGTAATATGTCCTTTCCTACTTCACCCCAACCCTATCTCCATTTCTGTAAGAATCACTACCACAGAGAGCCACTGCTACAAATGGAAAAGAGGTTAGTCTTTCAAATTGCTCAGACCAAAAATAACAGTAATAATAATAACGTTGAGAAACATTCTACACTGGAGAAACAAGAGCTGCTGTGTCACCAACCTGAATACGAGGTAGTGCTTTAAAACAGGGGCACCCTGTTTTAAAGGTACAGTAACATTTCATGGCCTGTTACGAGCCAGGCAGCACAGCAGGAGGTGAGTGGTGAGTGAGGGAGCATCCATGCCTGAGCTCCTGTCAGATCAGCAGCAGCCCTAGATTCTGACAGGAGCACAAACCCTGTTTTGAACTGCACATGCGAGGGATCTAGGTTGTACACTCCTTATGAGAATCTACTGCCTCCGAAACCATCCCCACCCCTACCTTCCATGGAAAAACTGTATTCTACAAAACTGGTCCCTGGTGCCTTAAAGGTTGGGGACTGCTGCTTTAAAGAGTTATATTGGAAGGGCATGACAACTTTTATAAAAAATTGAAAAGTGGGAGTTGAACAATGAGAACACATGGATACAGGGAGGGGAACATCACACACCAGGGCCTGTCACGGGGTTGTGGGGTAGGTAAGGGATAGCACTAGGAGAAATACCTGATGTAGATGACAGGTTGATGGATGCAGCAAACCACCATGGCACATGTATACCTATGTAACAAACCTGCATGTTCTGCACATGTATCCCAGAACTTAAAAGTATAATAAAAATAAAATAAATTTCTTAATTTAAAAAAATTGAAAAGGACATATTCTAGACAAATGCATAAGCAAAGGCCAAACATGATCTATTATTTAGAGAGATGGGATATACAAAGAAAGTCTACCCACTGAGTCATAACTAATTTCTAGACCACAATTACAGTGATAATCACCAGCCCATTAGTGGGTAGAAGATGTATCACTTGTGTCCTTCATTGTATAACTGCATAGTTAACTGTACTTGGTTCTCATTACAGCATTCTCAGAAAAACCTTTTATCATCTTTTATATATCCAGACAGGAACTGACTACATTCTATCTATTCAGAGGCAAGATTATGGTGCCCCAGCTGGAAGGAATCAGGCACTATATCTTCCCTAGCAAACTATCTAATTGGAAGCTACCTATGTCAGATGCAAGTGGCATCAATACTTACTTCCTCAAGTAAATGATACACTGCTGTTGTTTAAAGAAGCTGGACTCTGTTGCTTCAGAACTTGTTGGAAACCATCCAAACAAAACCAAGTTTATCAAAGGTCAAACTAATGTCTTTATGCCCCAGCCCACAGCATACTCAAGGCACTCTGGAAACAGATGAGTGACCTCCTCACAAGCCTGCAAACAGACTGAGCTTTTCTCCCTTGCCTCACTGAATATCCTCCATGCCTAAGTCATACTCATCCATTAAGGATCATCACATTCCACTTCCTTAAAGAAGTCCTCCTTGGCCACTCAAAGCTTCATTGGTCTCCCCTTTTACTGAAACTTTTTGAGCAAGTATTGATTACACTATAATTGCAGTATTTAATCATATACTGTCTTGTTTGTTTTTAATACTAAGGCATTTTCTGAAAATAATTTGAAAATCTCACTACCAAAGGGTTTTTCAAATAAGGGATTGGGTTCCAGGTTTTTAAATAATATGGTTATGGTTTTAATTTGTGGTTCTTTGTCAGAAGCCCGACTGTTTCCTGATCTTACCAGGACAATTACCCCTCAGAATACTGCGAATCAGGATAACTACCTCTGAAGAAGCTGGTACTCCCTGGCAGCCCATTAGCTATCCCATTCCGACACACTCACCGCTTACCCCCGCTCCTAACTTGCCAGCTTGCATTCCTGACTTCAGCTTCTCTCTTCCACTCACTGGCCCAGACATTGCCTTTTCTCATGGGGGTAGGTAACTGCCTCTGCTTCAGGCTCAGCTCTCCTCATTTAAGGCTAAGTTTCAGCCTGCCCAAATTAGGTGTGTCCCCAGCAGACACACCTAGGGTAGCCAGCTCTTGGCTGCTGTTCTAACCTCCTCCTTATTGATAACCTTGGTTCACCTGGCTGCTATTCTAACCTCCTCCTTATTGATAACCTTGGTTCACCTGGCTGCTATTCTAACGTCCTCCTTACTGATAACCTTGGTTCACCTGGCATCTACGGCCATTTGGCAGCTCTCTGCTGTCCCCTCCTGGCAATTTGTGGCACGATGTCATATCGCTCAAGGAACTCAGCCAGCTGTCTTAACTCTAGTTAAATCCTGTGGATTTGTTATTTCAGGTGACAAATGGTTGCTTATTATCACATGAGAGGAGATGTTTTAAGTTTAACTACTGTTTCTTTAGCACCCACTTGCCTATCCCACATTCAGCGACTCACAAGCAGCTAGCCCTGCCTTTATTAGATACTAGTAGATCTAAAAGTTTCTCCTAAAAAGCCAGCTATCTATACCAGACTGATATATACATATCCATGTATATAATAAAAGGAAATGGGAAATGTAACTCTAAGTGAGGCACTGAAAGTCATTATACTACTCTCTTTTTCTGATTCCTAATCCATATAATAACAAAGGTTAGGTCTGATGGTATACAATGATAATTCTCAAAGATTAGTTTATATGAGAGTTGTCTGATAAGCATGTTATAAGTTAAAATTCCTAGGTGTTACCCCTAGAAACTAATTTTCCAGGTGGGACCCAGAGTTCTACATGTTTTTTTATGTGGGGATGGGGGAAAGAGTCACACTATGTGGCCCAGGCTGGAGTGCAATGACACAATCTGAGTGCACTGCAACCTCTGTTTCCCAGGTTCAAGCGATTCTCCTGCCTCAGCCTCACTGAGTAGCTGGGATTCCAGAAACGCATCATCATGCTTGGCTAATTTTTGCATTTTTATTAGAGATGAGGGTTCACCACGTTGGCCAGGCTGGTCTTGAACTCCTGACCTCGTGATCCACCCACCTCAGCCTCCCAAAGTGCTGGGATTACAGGCGTGAGCCACCGCACCCGACCAAGATCTACATTTTTAACCAGCACCAGGTAATTCTAATGCAAGTGGTCCATAATAAACATTAGTCTACCAGCCATCTTCTGTTCTATTATTCTATTTCTTGATTCAGCCAAAACTACACACTCTGAGGTTTAGCAATGGAGTAACAGCCTAACAAGGACCTGGGGTAAAAACAAGCTTCTATAAATAAGCATATTTTATAAGCACAATAATTATGAAAGATTCTCTACCTGCTGTGCAATGATTGCAGTGCCCAAAATATGCCTAACACTATCATCTGATGTAAGAGAGAGTGTTGTAATAACTCTCTCCTCCATAATTTATCACACTAGAACTTGCCACACACAGAGATGAGAGAAATAACTGAGTCAGCAAATATTTTAGCTCTCAGCAGACAAGTAACTGCTGTTTAGAATACACTGTGGTGTCCTTTGTTAGACCCAGAGACATGAAATTGGGGAGGTTCATGGTTTTCTTAATTGTTATTTGCTTAGCCAAATGACTTATCAGACTAGGCCTCCTAATATTGTTGGAGTAAAGACCAAAAAAGAAGATATTTCAGCCAGCTTCACAGCAGCTGAAAATGTAGTTTCACTGCATTTCAAATATAGTGCTTGGTTAGCAATATTTCTCAAACTTTAAGGTGTATTTGGATCAATAGGGCTCTTGTTAAAATACAAATTCTGATTCGGCAAGTCTAGGGTGGAGGTTGAGACTGCAATTTCAACAAGTTCCTGGGTGACCCTAGGGCTGCTAGTCCACAGAACATATTTAGAGTAGCAAAGCTTTCTTTAGGTTTCTGCTGTAAAGGCAGGCTGCTTACCTTGTAATCCTGATGTTACCACTTATTGACCATCCAATCTGGGGCAAGTTGTACCTTGAGCCTTAGGTTTTTTTAATGTGTAAAACAGTATATCCTTCAAAGGGTTATTGTGAAATTTAAAGAAGGAATGGCTGTAAAACTCCTAGCAAGTGAAAAACTTCTCATAAATGTTTATCCTTTTTGCTATATGACCACACAACTTCATGTGACACCAGTAGCAGATTATGATCACTGTTTTCCAATATTATTCCCATCCTCCTTCCTGGATCATCTTCCACCTTGTGTCTACAGTCTTCACAGCCCCGAACTATCTTCTCTTATTGGCACAATAGGAGAAAGAGAAGGCAATGTGATGAAAGCAGAAAGAGAGATTTGAAAATACTATGCTGCGGGCTTTAAAGATGGAGGAAGGGGCCACGAGCTAAGAAATTAAGCTCTAGAAGCTGGAAAAGACAAAAAGAATTCTCCCCCAGAGTCTCCAGAGAGAGTGTGGTCTTGCCAACACCTTGCCTTTAGCCTAGTGGAAATGACATGAGGTTTTTGGACTCCAGAATTATGAGAGAAAAATACAGGTTATTATTTAACTTTGACTCGTCACTATATTTTTTCTATTTTTCTATTTCTGGGCCCCACCTAGACTGCCCTTTTTTATTCACCCCACTAAAATACAAATTCCATAAGGACAATGGCCCTATGTTATTACCTGCTCTATCTTAGTGGCTAGAACAGCACCTGGCACATAGCAGGTGCTCAATAGGAAGTTGTTGAATGAATAGATTAGAGCCACCTTCTCATCAACCCCTGACTTCAAGAGACTGAGTCCAATTCTTTAAGCTCAGCATTATTCTTGTTGACCCAAAACTCTACACTAGAGATGCAGCTGGATTCCGAGAGTGATTACAAGATCAGTGAATACTGGCGAAACCATTTCTGATTTGCCACTAGCAAAACAACATGAAGGAAAAGTGATCTCTTGCTCTTAAAAGCAGCAAATCGTTATTGGAAATGAGGAAGAAATGAATAGTTATTGATCATAGATGAGGAAACTAAATCTAAGAGAGCACAGAATAAGGATTCTTCTATTCTTCTTCAGGTTTGCAGTTTTTACTATCTAAACGGTTCCTCTCACATGTACTCCCTGAACTACCAACAACACATCACCAAGGAAGGTGTGGAAATACAAATTCTCCAGCCCTGCCAAGACCTACTAACCAGAAACTCTGGGGGTGAGGCTAAGAATCGGTGTTTTAATAAGCCCTCCAAGCCAGACGTGGTGGCTCACACCTGTAATCCCAGCACTTTGGGAGGCCAAGGCTGGAAGATTGCTTGAGGCCAGGAGTTTGAGACCAGCCTGGCCAACATAGCGAAACCCCATCTCTACAAAAAAAAAAAAAAAAAAAAAAAAAAATTAGCCAGACGTGGTGTTGTGATCCTGTGGTCCCAGCTACTTGACCACATAATACCGAACAGATACCTTAAGGCCTGAACAGGCTACCAGAGCTAAGAGAGATCACAAACCGCAGGAACACTCCGAGAGGAAAAAGGCAAGAGATATTATCTTGTGAGGGGAGAGAATACTTTTATATTTATTAGTTTATGAAGGGAAATAGAGGTGAAAAGTGAAAGCTTGGCAACAGAAGAGATAGATGTTATGGTTGAATGTTTGTGTTCCCCCAATTTCATATATTAAAATCTAATCCCCTGAGTGGTGGTATTAAGAGGTAGGGCCTTTGGGAGGTGACTGGGTCTTTAGGGTAGAGCCCTAATCAGTAGGATTAATGCCATTATGAAAGAGGCGTGGGGGAACTTGTTTGCCCCTTCCACCTGTGAGGACTCAGATAGAAGACACCATCTAGAAGAAAGGGCCATCACCAAATCTGCTGGCGCCTTGATCTTAAACTTCCCAGCCTTCAGAACTCTGAGCAATAATTTTCCATTGTTTATAAGTTTGTAAGGTATTTTATTATAACATCCCAAAGAGACTAAGACAATATACTTTAGAACAGAAAAGGAAATATAAAATTTAAGGAAACATAGTATCTAAGAGTGACACAAAATTTGGGATTTTCATTAAAATACTCCTGCAAAATAAAGGTAGTAGAGAGAATATATCAGATAAGATAAACAAAATGTTGGCAAATGTTCAAGCAGGGTAATAAACATTTATTACAATTCTTTCCATATTTGCGTGCATTTGAAATTTTTTCATAATAAAAAGTTTTGTGGCCAGGCGTAGTGGCTCACGCCTATAATTCCAGCACTTTGGGAGGCCAAGGTGGGCAGATCACTTGAGGTCAGGAGTTTGAGAACACCCTGGCCAACATGGTGAAACCCCATCTCTACTATAAATACAAAAATCAGCTGGGCATGGTGGTGTGCACCTGTAGTCCCAGCTACTCTGGAGGCTGAGGCGGAAGAATCACTTGAACCAGGGAGGTGGAGGCTTCAGTGAACCAAGATCACACCACTGAACTCCAGCCTTGGCAATAAAGTGAGACCCTGTCTCACTTTCTATAATAAATATATATATACATAAAATATATAAAAATATGTCATATATTTATATATTTTAACTAATTATATATAATTATTTTATATATAACATATTTGCCACTAATAAAACAACACGAAGGAAAAGTGACCTCCTCAGGCATATTTACATAATATCTATTGTACAGAAAATGTATATATAATACAGATATAATATATACCTGGTATATATTATATAATACAGATATAATATATAGCTGGTATATATTATATAATACAGATATAATATATACCTGGTATATATTATATAATACAGATATAATATATTCCTTGTATATATTATATAATACAGATATAATATATACCTGGTATATATTATATAATACAGATATAATATATACCAGGTATATATTATATAATACAGATATAATATATACCTGGTATATATTATATAATACAGATATAATATATACCTTGTATATATTATATAATACAGATATAATATATACCTTGTATATATTATATAATACAGATATAATATATACCTTGTATATATTATATAATACAGATATAATATATACCTTGTATATATTATATAATACAGATATAATATATACCTTGTATATATTATATAATACAGATATAATATATACCTTGTATATACTATATAATACAGATATAATATATACATTGTACATATTATATAATACAGATATAATATATACATTGTATATATTATATAATACAGATATAATATATACATTGTATATATTATATGTAGTATATATTATGTATAACATATAATACATATATTATAATACATAATACATATATACATTTTATATATTGTACAGAAAATGTATATATAATACATATATAATATACACTTTGTATATATTATATATTATGTATGTATTACATATATGTATAATATATACATTGTATATATTATGTATATGTATAATATATACATTGTATATATTATATATTATGTATATATTATATATGTATTATATATACATTTTCTGTACAATATATAAAATGTATATATGAAATACATATACATATATAAAATATATACATATATAAAATGACTACATACAGTATAGTCATAGTGCTTAAATGAGAGGTAAGAAAGAACATATGAATACTTCGTCCTGCTAAGGGCATTTGTTGAAACAAGGAAGAGGCTATATGTTCCAAGAACTTATAATGCAACTATCCTATGGTCTTACCATATTATTAATAACTGCAGTTTGTATCACCTATAGGTTCCAGGATGCTAACAAGATAACCCATTGTCTCTAGAAAAGAAAAATCCCCATAATCTCACATTTAGCATTGCCATGTAATATTTAAGTGGGATATACTTATATTTTTAAAGTATTCATTTTCCAAAATTTAAATTTAATTGGGTGTTCTGTATTTTTGTTTGCTAAATCTGGCACCCCTACCTATATTCTATTATCCAACCAAAATTTGACATCATGGTCACAGGTTAATCCAAGTATATTTTCTGACTCAATTCATGTTGCTTCCTAGCTTCTCTCTCTCTCTCCTCTTCCTTCCCAATATATTTTCACTTTCCTTTTCTTTCCTGGTGTCTGTATCTTGTTAATTTCCTCCATACTAAATCTACTTAACTCACACAAATCAATGGAATATTTTCTCAAAATGATACCAGTTGGTAACAAACCTAGATTTAACACAAATAAGTAAAGTTGACAGCTCACTGATGTTGGCATTTTCTGAATAACTGCATATCTTTCCAGTACCAGAAACCCAAAAGTCAAGAATTTAGAAAGATTGAGGAAGAAAAGTAAATGAACAGAAAAGAGAGACCCAGTCCAGCCCTAAATCTTCTCACCTCTTGTCAGAGAGAGAAATATTTTTAGTTTAGCTGTTTACACCTTGAGAAGGGAATCTAGATAGTCATTTTTTAAAAAACAATTTTTATTTTGTAAAAGGGACATTAAAAAGAAGTCAGGAGAATCAAGAGTAAGAGATATTAATGTACAGAGCCCTTTTGCTAACATTTTATGAAAACAAAAGATTTCACAAGTGTTCTTAATTAGTCCTCAACCTCTGTAGGTGGTGGGTGGCATAACTTATTATCAGAGATTTACAAAGAGAGGAACATGCTCAGCAGGGTGAAGGGACTAAATGGAATTCTGATATTAAGGTTTAGAGTGTAGGAAAACTGAGCTTTGGTGCTAAGCATAGGACTCGGGCCTTATTGGACCTCTGTAATTACTGGAGCAGCTTGGTGTCAGGATGCATCAGCTGGGGATCTTTTGTTTGCAAGTCACGGAAACCATGAAAAACAAGGAATTTACTGGGTCTCACAATTGAAAAGTCCAGGAGTGACTTGCTCTAGGGGCTGAAACCATGTCACCAGGTCTTGGGTATTTTTCTCTCTGTCTCTCATCTGTAACATCCTCTGCACTGGCAGCTCTACCTACAGAACAGACTGCCTTTATGGTTTTCAGTTGATTACAAAAGCTCCAGCTTTGCATGCTTTCAAGTTCAAGGCCTGCAGGAAGTAAACAGACAAAAGAAAAGATCCCTTTCCCAAAAAAATCAGGTAAAGCCTCTTTGAGAAGCATTGGCTGCGCTTGAATTGTCACTCTGTTTCCTAATCAATTACTGAAGAAAGAGAAATGCAGTTGTCTGATTGGCTTAGCGCCCTGATCCAAGTATGAACCATCCCAAAGCATATGGCCTGAAACAGGGTAAACTCAAGTGACTCCTCAAACTCCTCTAGTGCACTTGCTTTGTAATCAAACTTTTGAGTTTTGAGAAGTGGCACAACCAACTGGAATTTCTTAGAGCACCAGAGTTCTAAGCTTCCTTCTAGCCTTTTCTTAGGTAGATCAACCTACCTCCTATATATGAGGAGAAAAATACTCTTTGGACTCCCTTCAGAAGAGTGAGTACCTGTGATATCAGTTCCCAGTCCTCAGAAAAATACTCAGAAATAAGCCAGCGTAAGAAGGCTAAAGGAAAGACTGGTGATATCAAGAAATAACACATCCAAAGTATACCATGAGCATTCTTCAAACCCAGGCTGCAATGTACTGCTGGGAGCCCTGACTGAGGACTCAGTTTCCTCTCTGCAATTCTGCTCTATAATGACTAGTTACACCAATGTGTGAATCCAATGATTGTATAGAAAATACAATTTTTTTAATCCATCCATGATCTGTGTCCCTCTTCTTCTGATTAAAAAAAAAATCCAACCTTTCCTTAGATAACTACCAACTCCCAATCTTAGTGGTTTGAATGAGGTAGGACCAACTCTCCTAGTCCAGAAATATGCAAAGACTGAAGGTCCAGCTAAATAGAGAATTTCATGGTCAATGCTACAATGACTGGTTCAGAAATAGGCCAGTGAGACTTCATCACAGGACTTTTGCTGGAACTATCCAGAAGAAAAACTTCCTTTTGTCCTAGGATTGCCAAGAGGACAGTGAGTAAACTTGACCAACTTGCCACCACATGTAGGGAATCTTCCTGAAAACAATCTTAACATAGAGAAAACAGATCCAAGAGGAGAGAAACAGATTCCTGATAACATGACTTGGGATAGATGGATCCAGCCATGTTTAAAGCCAATACAAAGCCTAGGTTTGTCAGTTAAGTTACTTTTTTTCTAAAACCAGTTTGAGTTGGGTTTCTCTCATGTGCGACGGAAAAAGACACAACCAGGGCCACTGTTAGCCTATTCACACCTACAAAAGAATTAGAAGAAGAAAAAAAAAGTCCTAGTCGGGTACAGCCCTGTGGGTTTAAGGCTCAGCAAATTGATGGAACATTTGTGCTATCAACCTGAAATAATCAAAAGGATCAGAATCCATTTTTAAAGAGTTTATTCAAGTGAAAAGCTGGTAATGGTCATCTGGTAAACACAGACTCTGGAGAAATGAGGTCAGTGCTCTGCAGTTAAAAGTTAGGGTTTTGCTTACACAGGAACAAAACAAAGAAATTTAACAGGGTTACATTTCTTATATGAGGCTGGTTTATGAGTTGCAACCATTGAATTAGTGACAGTTTGTTTTCTTTTCCATACAGCTTGTTTGTATTTCCTTTTCAATAAAATAAAAAAGTATACTTAACATTTTGTCTTAGACAATGTGATAACCATGAAGTATTTGTATGAGAGGTAAGAGGAAAGCTAATCTGTAATGAAGATCAACAGTTAGAGGGAAGGGGTCTGCCCTGGTGCCCTGTAGCTAGTCACAACATTTTACAAAACAAGATAGTTAAGGAAGAAGGCTAATCTATAATCGGAGAAACAAAGGTTAAAGCTGCCTGGGTTACAGCTGCCTATCATGTGACTCAGGCCCCATAATCACATTTCTCTAAGACTCAAAATAATTTAAAGTTCCAACAGTTTCGATTTTTATTTATTTTCACAGTCCTCATTAGAAAAACTTCCCTTTCCTCTAGGCACATGCAACCCCAACCAGGGTGTTCTATGGCTTACAGAGTGGGAGCTGGATTTTAGCCACTACTGACCCTCAGCTGGACAGCTTTGTGTAATGCTCTAACTGGATACATTTATGTGGCAGCTGGAGACTTGTTAGCATACAAAAAACTCAAACTTATTAACTCAAATTATTATCTTATTGACAAAGGCATTTGTTGTTAGGACATGTCACATTCACCAAGTTAAAAACAGGCAATAAGGGAATGACCAAATGTACCTGTTGTCAATCCCTACAGTAAGTACTCAATAAATGGCTGAATTTTATAATTAATATAAGTTCCTTTCAATATCAATTCAACCTAGATTAAGTACTGAAAAAGATTAAAAGGGCTATTTGTCTGGTGTAGAGTACAGAATACCTGGACAAAGACAAAGGTCAGCCTCTAGAATTTGCCAGAAATGGGCCAGCAAAGTGCAGCATCTTAATAACTGAGTGATACTGGCAGGAAGATTTCTCCAAAGACTAACTATGGTGTTTTGAAAATACGCCTGTAAATTATTTGACACTCATCCCTTCAAAAGGTGGGGACTAATTTCTGTCCCTTTGAGTGTAGACTACCCTTAATGACTTGATTCTAACAAATAAATTGTGACAGAAATCATGGTTTATGATTTCAGGGACTACATCCTAAAAAGCATGTCTTACTCTCTCTTCAATCACTCACTGTAGGGGAAGCTAGATGCCATGTCATGAGGACACTCAGGCAGTCCTATGGGGACATATCGATGGCAAAGAGCTGGGTCTTATTGACAATAGCCAGCATTAGCTTTTCAACCACATGAGTGAGCCACCCTGGAGGCAGTACATCCATCCCCAGCCATGTCTTCATCCCTTCGATAGCTTGACTGCAACCTCATGAGAGACCTCAAGCCACAATCACCTAGCAAAGCTGTTCCTGAATGTCAGATTCTCTGAAACTGTGAGATAATAAGTGTTTATTGCTGCTTTAAGCCAGTAAGTTTGGGGAGTAATTTTAATGCAGAAATACATCATTAATATACTGACTAAAGAGCAAGAGTCCAGCTACTAAGAGTAATGAAAGAGCCAGGCAGAACTCCAGCTCCAGAAGAAATGGGGCACTGAGCTAGGAATGAAGGCAGGAACTCCAGATAGAAATTGGGGTAAAGTCAAAGCAAGAACTACGCATTTGACTGAGTCCTAGAAGCAGAGGTTCTTCTATTTCTCCCATGCTGTAGAGCCCAGGGCAGTACTGAGCGTGAAAGTTGGGCTGGTAATGGGCAAATCCTGCTGCAGGAGTTGGAACTCAGTAGAAATATTGGCCTCCTGGTCCAGCTCCAGAAAGACTGAAGTCCCAGGAGATAAACTGCACCAAAATAAATTGGAGCAAGCACGCAGATACCAAGGAGCAAGCCAAAATCACATTATATGTCAGAACCAACATCTTAGAATGAAGCTAAAGATGAGCTATCAAAATCAGAGCTGGAGAGCAATGCATAGTTGAGACAAAACAAATAGTAAGAGCTCAGAATGAAAGCTAGAAGAGGGGGGAATCTGAATTAGGCAGGACTCCAGGAGCTGGCTATGCGAGGAGTGACTGGGTAGGTCTGGTTAAAGTTTCAAGATAGATCAGCGTTTCTCAAACTTTAATGTGCATCCAGTATCACCTGGAGGGCTTTTAAAAACACATCTTACTGGGCACCACGCCCAGAGTTTCTATTCAGCAGCTCTTGAGCAGAAACTGATCATTAGTATTTCTAACCGGTTCCAAGGTGATGCTGATTCTGCTAATCCACTTTGAGAAGTACTGAGCTAGATTATAGTAGGATTTGGGTAGAAAGGCTGGGATCATTCAGGGGTATGGGACCAAGTTTGTCACAACAGGAAGAATGTGTAAAGGAGGTATCTTTGAGCAGAGAACCATTCATGTCCCCTGAATCTAACTAGACATCTGTGTGTCTTGTCCCTACACCCCCCTTAATATTTCTTAGGCCCCACTCTCTGCTACTCCTTTCACCATTGAAAAAGACGTCACTGTAAAATAAGAATTGTTATCACTTACAAGGCAATTACTATGTGCCATGTACTCTATTGACATGTTATTTAGTAAAGGGAATATTATTATCCCCAATGTACAAATAAGAAGAATGCAAAGCTCAGTAAAGTTACTTAGCTGACCTCAGATCATTTCAGGGAGCTGGAATAAAACTGTAAAGACTTCCTAATTGTGTTACAGTGAAAGAAGTACAGTCCTTTGTAAGCAAAAGTCCAATTTGCCCCAGAATAAAACAATCCATAAGGTAGCAAAGTACCACATACTGAGCTTTAGTAGTCATTTATTTTCAAAGAGAGATGAGACAGAGATAGTAACTTGTTTAATGAAAGTTTGGATGCAATTCATTTTCTTTTAAAGTAGAATATTATCGAGAATCCTTTGATTTTTCTCTAAGGACCCATTCTACACCGCAATCTTCAAAAAACATTAAATAGAAGTCAGGGGAAATTTCCATATGGAGTATTTCTTTTCCATCATGTGTACAAATGATCCATCTGTGGCTTATTAATTTGTAATTCTGACCCATGGGACAAAGCTCAACTAGCTCTGTTTAGTGCTGGATCAATTACAGTTGGATAAAAAAGTTGGAAACAGTGGAAATATCCAATATGTTAATTTCATAAATTTTGTTAATTCATGATAAATATCATGTAGCATTTAAACCATATAGTTTAGAAAATTTTCAGAATATCTAATGTCATGAATAGGATATACTATTACATTTTAAAAGTCAGTTTATAACTCTTTTAAAAAAAATTATGTCTTTTGGCCCAGCATGGTAGCTCACACTTGTAATCTCAGCACTTTGGGAGGCCAAGGCAGGAAGATCACTCGAGCCCAGGAGTTCAAGACCAGCCTAGGCAACATGGCAAAACCTCGTCTCTACAAAACATACAAAAATTAGCCGGGTGTGGTGGCACACACCTGTGGTCCCAGCTACTCAGAGGCTGAGATGGGTGGATCACCTGAGCCTGGGGAGGTCAAGGCTGCACTATAAGCCATGATCATGCCACTGCACTCCAGCCTGGGTGACAGAGTGAGACTCTGTCTCAAAAAAAAAAAAAAAGAAGAAGAAGAAGGAGAAGGAGAAGGAGAAGAAAAATTTTATCTTAGATCTTAGGCTGATGTCTTGGTTTGGGTTCCCATAGATCCAAACCCCAAGTCAATAATTCAAGTGCAACTTTATTTGGGAGGTGACCCCAGAATATACTGGTAGAGAAAGTAAAATGGAAAGCAACCCATCAAGCTTGCATTATTATGCAAATTATACTGTGGGAAACCAGACTTAATTCCACTGAGGAACTCCAGGGCCCATCTAGAAGGTATCACAGCTCAGAGTTATCCCACAAAGGGTGTAAGGAATCTGGGTATTTAAACAACAATTTCTGTCAGTCATTGTTGGAGGTATGCTCCCACAGGCCATTAATTCTCTGGCACATTCAGCTTGCCATGAATGAGTGCAGAATAGGCTCTGGCTGCCAGAAAAACCCTTGGGAAAAGAGATGCAGAAACTGGCAGTTGGAATCCCGCCAGCGTGAAGTATTGTGGTAAATGCTAAGAGGAAAATTGGCAGAGCATCCACAGTGTCTGCTACACCTGAGTACCCCCAGAACCTAGAGCTTGAAGCTGAAGCTTATGTGCTATATTTTTTCAGAGAGTGCAATCCCTGGGAGCAGGAGTTAGGTAAAAGAAGGTGCAGCCAAAAAACAGGGTTAAGTTAGCTCAAGGTTGTATTTCCAAGCTGGCCATCACGTGATAACAAGCGCAACTGATTGCTTAATCTCATAAAGCTCCCTCTCAAGAGAGTGTATGATATACTGCATCCCGGGACAATCTGTCCCAAGGAGAAGAATTTACCCCTCAATGTTTGTATCTCATTGGTGAAAGGTTTTCCCCATGGTGCATTAACTCCTCAACCTTTCCAGATTCCGCATGTGGGACACCAAGTGGGTCTCATGGATTCACACACCTCAAATGCAAGAGGGAAGCCAAGAGTGGGAGGTGAGTGGCATCCAGTGCGGGCAGGAGGTAAAGGACAGTAGGGATTTTTGTCTGTGTGCAGTTTGTAGAGCCCACACATTTGGTTACTCACTGACAGCCAGGGAAGAATTGGTGGCCAAAGGCCTTAGAAATAGTCAAGGCCAAAAAGATTTGACATGCTGCTTAAGATAAGCCTGATACATATGTATTCCAATTTTTGTTAAATATTTACACACAAAAACAACCCACTCACATTCACGTGCCTGAACACAACTACAAATAAAAAAGACAACAGTTAAAATAAAAACAGTGATTTAGATCCAGTCAAATTGTATTTTTTCTACCTATATTCTTTGATGTATGTTTAAAGTTTTATACAATAAAGGTATTTTGATTTTATAGTGGGAAAAGATCACAAAATCACATGGACAGGTTTAGAAAGGAAGACAGAGCAGTAAACACTTTTTTTCAAAGTAAAAAAAAATGGTTAAAAAATGATTCTGTGTTTTACTTCATAGGCATAGACAAGGTAGTCTTCATTTCAAGGTTGAATCTTTCAAAAAATTGTTTAGAAAAACAAAAATAAGTTGCTTTTTAAATATGAGATGCCCAATTCTTGTCTCATAATAAATTACCATAGTTTCTAAATAATTTGAAATATATTTGTTTATACAGTCACATGCCACATAACAAAGTTTCCATCAACAACAGATTGCATGTATGTCAGTGGTCCCATACGATTATAATGGAATGAAAAATTCCTATTGCCTAGCGAAGTCATAGCCGTCATATCATTGTAGGGCAATGTATTACTTACACATGTGTGGAGATACTGGGATAAACAAACCTACTTTACTGCCAGTTATATAAAAGCACAGCACATACAATTATGTACAGTCCATAATACTTGATAATGACAAAGCGCTATGTTACTGGTGTACGTATTAACTATATTATACTTTTTATTGTTATTTTACTTATTTATTTATTTATTTTGAGACAGAGTCTCGCTCTCTCCCAGGCTGGAGAGCAGTGGCGTGATCTCGGCTCACTGCAAGCTCCGCCTCCCGGGTTCACGCCATTCTCCTGCCTCAGCCTCCGGAGTAGCTGGGACTAAAGGCGCCCGCCACCACGCCCGGCTAATTTTTTGTATTTTTAGTAGAGACGGGGTTTCACCGTGTTAGCCAGGATGGTCTTGATCTCCTGACCTCGTCATCCGCTCGCTTCAGCCTCCCAAAGTGCTGGGATTACAGGTGTGAGCCACCGCACCCGGCCTTTTTATTGTTATTTTAGAGTGTACTCCTACTTATATTAAAAGAAAAAAAAGTTTACTGTAAAATAGCCTCAGGCAGGTCCTTCAGGAGGAATTCCAGAAGAAGGCATTGTTATCACAAGAGATGACAGCTCCGTGCATGTTATTGCTCCTGAAGACTTTCCAGTGGGACAAGATGTGGAGGTAGAAAACAGTGATGTTGACAATCCTGACCCTGTGTAGGCCTAGGCTAATGTGCATGTTTGTATCTTAGTAACCAAAAAGTTTAAAATGTTAAAAAACAAACAAACAAATTGACTCTGTGTGGTGGCTCACACCTGTAATCCCAGCGCTTTGTGAGGCCAAGGCAGAAGGATCCCTTGAGCCAGTTCAAGACCAGCCTGGGCAACATAGTGAGACTCAGTCTCTATTTCTTTAAAATAAAAAAAATAAAAATTTAAAAATTGTAAAAATTTTTAAAAGCTTACAGGATAAGGATATAAAGAAAGAAAATATTTTCTACATCTGTACAATGTATTTGTGTTTTAGGCTAAGTATTATTACACAAGAGCCAAAAAGTTTAAAAAAAATTTTTAAAGTTTACAAAGTAAAAAAGTTACAGTAGCTAAAGTTAATTTATTATTAAAAAAATAAATTGTTAAAAATAAGTTTACTGTAGCCTAAGTATATAGTGTTTATAAAGTCTACAGTAGTGTACAGTAATGGCGTGGGCCTTCATATTCACTTACCACTCACTCAGTGACTTACCCAGAACAACTTCCAGTTCTGCAAACTCCATTCATGGTAAGTGCCCTATACAACAGTAGTATTTTAATCTTTTATATGGCATTTTTACTGTGTCTTTCCTATCTTAGGTATGCTTAGATACATGAATATTTACCATTGTGTTATAATTGCCTACAATGTTCAGTACAGTAACATGCTGTACAGGCTTGTAACCTAGGAGCAATAGGCTATCCCGTAGAACCTAGGTGTGTAGTAGGTTTGTGTAAGTACATTGCTATGATGTTTGCACAATGAATAAGTCACCTAACAACACATTTCTTAGAACCTAGCCCTGCCGTTAAGTGATGCATGACTGTATATCTTGTGAAAGAAAAATGAACTCTCAGGGACTCCAAACTCACTATGCCAAAGGGAAAAGTTAAGCTTGGGAACTGAGTCATGCAAAACTGTCTCCCATTTTGTTTCTAAATAGATAGCTCCAAAGACAGAAGTTCACATACCACCCTAGGAGGCCTCCCTTACAATTTGCTCAGAAGGAAATTCCTTGTGGGTCCCAAGATCTTTACCTTAAAACAGTGTTCTATGGAATTTTACCCTGACAATATAAATCAGTGTTGTCTGTATTTTCACAGGTACAGGACAAAGATAGGACTAGAAGTCATCCCTCTGCTCACCTGAGACAAATGCATATTTGACTGCTTCCTCCACTCTATCTTTACTTCATCTTATGTAAAAATTCATATTCACAGAGCAAGAGATGAATGCATAGTTGACTATTTCTCTACCCCCTCTTTTCACATGTAAAATGTGAATTCAGTGAACCCTGCACAAAGCCTCAGAGGAGTGCAAGCACTTGCCTCTTACCTACTCTCCTTCCCTTTTTCTGTCCTCCTTCCCCTACTGCCTGCTCTTTCCCCTTTAAATACTGAAGTCCCTAAATCCTCTTTGAAAACAGCACAGATCACAGATGTTACTGTGATTTTGTGTTCCTTTTGCCCAGGCACATCCTCAACCTTGGTGAAATAAACCTCTAAATTGATTGAGACTCACCTCAGTCATTTTCTATCCTCAGCAATTTTCAAGTATACAATACATTTTTATTAACTATAACCACGATGTTGTAGAATAGACCTGTTGAATTTTTCCTCCAGTCTAAGTGAAATTTTGTATGCTTTGACCAACATCTCCACAACCTACCCCACCAAACTGCTCTCAGCTTCTAGACACACACATTTTCTTTTTTTATTTTTTAACTTAATTTTTTGTTGTTGTTGTTGTTGTTTTTTGAGACAGAATCTTACTCTGTTGCCCAGGCTGGAGTGCAGTGGCATGATCTCAGCTCACTGCAACCTCTGCTTCGCCATGTTGGCCAGGCTGGTCTCAAACTCCTGAGCTCAAGTGATTGGCCCGCCTTGGCCTCCCAAAGTGCTGGGATTACAGGCATGAGCCACCGCACCCAGCCCTTAATTTTATTTTATTTTAAGTTCCAGGATACCTATGCAGGACATGCAGGTTTCTTACATACGTAAATGTGTGCCATCATTGTTTGCTGCAACTATCAACCCATCACCTGGGTATTAAGCCCCGTGTGCATTAGCTATTTATCTTGATGCTCTTCCTCCCCCTCGCCCTGACAGGCCCCATTGTGTGTTGTTCCCTTCCCTGCGACCATGTGTTCTCATTGTTCAGCTCCCACTTATGAGTGAGAACATGCAGTGCTTGGTTTTCTGTTCTTGTGTTAGTTTACAGAGGATAACAACTTCCAGCTCCCTCCATTCCCTGCAAAGGACATGATCTCATTCCTTTTTATGACTGCATACACTTTCAATACTAAGTCATAACACTCAAATGGAAGACCAGATTTCACTATAGTCTACTCTTACTGCAGACCCTTTTCTTGGTCTGGGATCCACTAAAACCTGACAGTCTTATGGGTTATTGTTATCTGGTAAATATACCAGAGAAGCACATCAAAATACATTGCCACCAAAATCCAAAGTGTCCCACCAAGCAATGGGCCTTGTTCTGTGTGGTGAGCAGTGTAAGGCATAGCTACATCTTTCACTTTAGAAGGCATATGCCGATATGCCCCAGATGCTGGACTCCTAAAAGTTTTTTCTGTTTGTTTGTTTTTTGTTTTGTTTTATTTGAGACAGAGTCTTGCTCTTGTCTCCCAGGCTGGAGTGCAGTGGCACCATCTCAGCTCACTGCAACCTCCGCCTCCCTGGTTCAAGCAATTCTCCTGCCTCAGCCTCCTGAGTAGCTGTAATTACAGGCGCCAGCCACCACGCCTGGCTAATTTTTGTACTTTTGGTAGAGACGGGGTTTCACATGTTGGCCAGGCTGGTCTCGAACTCCTGACCTCAGGTGATCTGCCCGCCTAGGCCTCCCAGAGTGCTGGGATTACAGGCGTGAGCCACCACACCCGGCCCTAAAAGTTTTACCAGTGTAGCAGAACCTTAAATCGTTGCAGCCTTATCTTCCACCCCTGATGTGATATGAAAAAAAATGGCACATTATCCTTGTGACAGCTTTTCTAAAAATTCACAACCCCAGTCTAATCATGACAAATCCAAAGTGAGGACATTCTGCAAAATATTTAACCAGGATTTTTTATAAATGTCAAGGTTAAAAGAAAAATGACAAAAACAAGAAAAGACTGAGAAACTGTCACAGTCTGAAGAAGACTGAGACATTACAAAGATAGCAACTAAATGCAACATGGTATCCTGGATTGAATCCTGGAGCAGAGAAAAAAAATAGCAGAAAAAATAAACTGGAGAAATCTGAATAGTCTGTCATTTGGTTAACAGTGTTGCACCATTGCATGCCTGTATCAAAATATCTCATGTAACCCATAAATATATACATCTAGTCTATACTGACACAAAGTAAAAATAAAACTAAATGGTGTTGGACCAGCATGTCTGTTTTATTTTATTATTACCTTTAATGGACATATAATAATTGTGATACAGTGTGATATCTTGATAAATGTATCCAGTGTATAATGATCATATTGGGGGTAATTAGCATATCCATCACCTCAAACATTTCATTTCATAGTTTTGATAAATATACCATGATTATGTAACATGTTAACATGTTACAAGGTAGGTAAAGGGTATACAAAACCTCTCTATTGCTATCTTAACAATTCTTCTGTAAATCTAAAATTTACAGAATTTATAAACTCTTCCATGAAATCTAAAATAAATTTTAAAACTTGAAGAAAGGGAGAGGAAAAAGTGCCTGGTTAATAAGATTGAATATACAGGAAAGAAGAGATAAAGACACATGTAAGAAAGCACACGTGTGTGTGTATGTGTCATGGTTTATGACTGGGTTTGTGTGTGCATATTAGAGGCAGGGTGAGTTTATGTGAGATGGTAGCTCTGCTATAAGGGAACTAGTGAGCCAAGGCACTTGCATGAACCTGAGAGTAAGTATCTGCTTAAATTTTGAGCCTTACGCACCTTGCTTGCCTTACCCTAGTCCAGGATTTTTAATGAAGCTGCCAAGAGGAGCAAAAGTATGTCATAGGGGGCACCTGGATTTGAACCAGGGACCTCTTGATCTGCAGTCAAATGCTCTACCACTGAGCTACACCCCCTTGATGCCAATAACCTTCAAAAAACCATTTATTCCATTTTTATGACCTGCAAAACACCTCATAAATACCTTTGGTGTCTAACATTCCTTTCGAATTTAAACTCATCCCCAGTTTCCTCCTAGCCGTACCATCTTTTGTTTTTCCCAGAGCATTTATACTCATTCTCTTCCCAGCACCTGAAGCTCAATGCTGTATCCTCAGTCTAATATTCCAGCTTTAAAAAAATACACCACCAGCTGCCCATAGATCTCTGGGCACGTCAATGAATGTTTTGAGCATTAGGGGCTACCAACAAGTATTGGACATGGAGGAGATCTGAAGTGGGAATCCACAAATTGACTTCAGATGTTCATGTTCAATTCTGAAATTATAGGCAAATATTATGTATTTGCACATATTGTATATTGTGCATATTTTTATCAGATTTTCAACAGGGACCTCATCCAGGACCAACTATCTCACTTCAGTGTAAAAAAAAAAAAAAAAAAACACCAAAAAGAAAAACAAAGCACCCTGAATGTTCCAAAGCCCAAAACTCAATTTTGAACACCTCTGATTCCTATTCCTTTGAGTTCCAATCTAAGAACTCAACCTCGTGCATCTCCAAGATTGAGCAAAAGATCAAGGAAATTTTTGTCATTGCAACAAATTTTCCCTGATGAGGTCTGTCAGCTGCCATGGGGCCAGGGAACAAGCAGCAGCCAGAGCTCCAGCTCACAAGCTGTCTGAGGGCCCCAGACACCCACTCCCAGCACCCGCCCAATCTGATGCCCAACAGGAGCCTCAGATTTCAAATCCAGTATACCCAAACCTAAGCTTATCATCTTCTTGTCCAAACCTGCCTCTCCATCTATTTTGCTTTGTTGTAATAATAATAGCTCACATATGTTGGGCATTTTCGATATGCCAGGCATGGTACTAAAAGTTCTACCAACAACCTCCATGTAATTGTTACAAAAATCCTATAAAATAGGCATGAGTAGTAGTATACAGGATGGAAACTGAGTCACAGATTGATTGGAATATCTAGCCCTAGGTCACACAGCTAGCAGGTGGTAGGGCCAGGATTCCAGCGTAGGCTCAGACTGTGTGAAGAGCCCAGCTGCTTAACCAGCTGAGCAGTCTCCTTCCTATCTTGGTTGGAGATGCCACCATCCTGTACTCGGTCATCTAGACCAAAACACTTAAGGCAACTCTAGGCTCCTCCCACCCTCTCCTCCCCAGTTCCAGTGAATCAGAAGACACTATTGATTTTATCTTTGACATTGCTCAAATCCATCTCCACCCCTGCACTGTCAGTGCCACCACCTCCTAAATACCCTCCCGGCCTCCACCCCCACATCCACCCTGTACTGCTTCCAGAGCAGCCTGTTGGAAAACTAAGTCCATCTAGATCACTGCCCTTTAAACGCCATCACAATAAACTTCAAGTCTCTTAGCACAACATGCAGTTCTTCTCTCTGATTTTTACCTGCCTCCTCAGCTTCAGCGTTATCTTTTGGCACTCTCCATATCACATTTTGTGCTCCAGCTGCCTCCATCTGCATCTACCTGGCTTCAGCTTCTGCTGCACTGTTTCCTCTGCCTGGAATTGCAACCATCCCTCTCCACAACCCCACCTCCATTCCACCCTCCATCTGTAAGATATTATTCATCTTTGAAACCCTGACTGGCCATCAGCTCCTCCAGACGCTTACCTTCACCTCCCCTCCTCTGAACAGATGTAATCGCTGCCTCTTCTGTGTTACTGCACCTATCGCAGCTAGGTACAGCTCATACACTCTATTTTCTTATTCTATATGCCTACACCCTGAATGAGGGCAGGGGCTAATGTCTTATTCACCACTGGGCTCACACTTTGCATGGTTCTGGTACATAGTAGGTGCCCAGTGTATGTTGTTCAGACTGATCTAAAAACAGAGCATTGCCTGTATTGTGGGTGGGAGTTACACCTGACTTCTGGCTCCATGCCTGGGTCCTGAATGAAGTTACCCAATGTGGGGGTATTTGGCTGTAGGAAATGAACAGGGGATGGAAGGTAATAGAAATCCTTAAGCTTTAAAGCAGAAAAATGCAGTTCCTTAAACTTCAGACCAGTTCTTGTTCACCTCCCTGAAAATGTTCTGTGGATAAAACCCTATTCCTTCGCTTTCCCCAGGGCAGTGCAAAGTATGGGCACAGTCACTAAGTCCCTGGTTTTCCTTGTGGCCAACAGGTTCTAAAACTCTATAGGCAATCACAGGACCGTGGGAACATTGCCTAGTAGGAGTTTGTCACAAAGATTTTAACATTAGGAGAGCAGTATGTGTAGTATACTTAAGTCAGTGAGAGTGTGTGCTCTGAGTTCAAATCCTGAATCTGCCCTTTATAGCTTTTTGACCTTGAGTGAATTACTAAGTATCTCCAAGTCTCAGCCTCCTCATGTAAAATGGAAATACAAGCAAACAAGTATGTGTCTTGTAAAACTGTGGTCAGAAATAGAGGAGAACCAATGTAAAGGGCCTAGACTTGCATGTACTAAGAATGCAAGCCAGGGACATTAGTTATTATTCAATCAGCCATGAGCCATAGAAGATAAGAAGTCAAAGTCAATCCATGTTCTTCTGAAACAAAAACACAAATGCACAGGGGGCACCTGGATTTGAACCAGGGACCTCTTGATCTGCAGTCAAATGCTCTACCCCTGAGCTATACCCCCATGCTGGTAAGCTTGCTTTTATAGTCTATCTCTCTCTCTCTCTCTCAACATTCTGGTTCTAAAAACCTCCAGTGACTCAGGGGAGCTATAATTAGAATGTTGTCTGAAGGAAGTCTGGGCATTACAAGCTTTAGAAGAGGTTTATTATGAAAAAAGACAGGACTCCTGAAAACTAAGTTCTCAGGAGCCAAGAAACTCTTCTTAGACTGGCCAGTACCCAGAGCCTTATTCCTGTCCACCATATCTCACAGAAGGCAAACCTCAATTCCAAGTAAAAATAATCAGATTCTCCACAAATGGCAACATCAATATAATGTGGATGACTGGATTCCTGTTGAGCTTCTCTTAGCTAAGGCTCCTAGCAACTGAGATTCTTATTCCTCTTCATGACTTCACAGAATTGAGCTCATAACTAGCACTCCAGATATTTGTTGCATTAAATTGACTCTGGAAAAATATATATATAAATAACAATTTGTGTGAGATAGCTTTTCCAAGCCACAACTGTAAGATGGTTTTAGTCACACAAAAACAGATGGTCAGTGAGTTACACTCTTGTGTAACATAACGTCCCTGAAATTTGGAATATTGCCAACTTTGAAAGGTTATTTGATGAAGAGAAACAACACTCTAGATGAGAGTCTCTTAATCAACCAAGTAAATAATTTATCCTGGTCCAGCCACCAAAGATTCATTTTCAACTTCTAAACACAACCACAGTTACAGCAACCTATATTTCCTGACCTCATAAACATCTCCTCTCACCCTAATAAATTGTGCAGGTGCTTCTTATGTAAATCTTACATGTTTGAGCCTATTGAGAAGTGTCTCTTCTGCCAATTTCCTAGGCCGCATACATTATTCAGGCATTTCCAAGGGATCCTACATTTGGGATGATCATTTTGTGTCAGAGTTTTGGTTGGTTGGGAGCATAGAAGAGGCTCCTCTACCTCAGGCTGGAACTGAGAGCTAAGAAAATAATTACAATGCATGCTTTGCTCATTGTTCTTTTCTCATGCTGGCCATCAGTGGGAGTTGAGATTTTAACAGTAGCAGACGTACTCTGTGCTTCATATCAAAGAACTCCAGTGCTGGAAGGGTTTTAGAGATCATTATTTCAACCACTTCTTTTGTACACTAAGAAACACAGGTTGAGAGAAGCCAAAGAGCCTTGCTTAAAATCACAAGCATGTCAGTGGCAGGATATGGACTGGGGTCCACTCTACTTAGAGCACATTAGAGGCAGGGTCCTTTGAAGGCTCCCACTGCCTGGAACAACACAAGTGTTCAAAAAATGCTTGTGGGATAAATATCAGGCTGTAGTTGTATACAGGGTGCCCAACCATCCTGGTTTACTGGAGAGTTACCCAGTTTTAGTACTAAATGTTCTACATCTCAGGAAAGCTTTCAGTTCCAGGAAATTCCTCAGAAAATTGGGTATTTTCTAAATGTTATCACCTACTTTTTCCATTGTCACAGTTTTTATCATTTCCACATACCTCCTATAGTAGTATTTACTTACTATTTGTCTTGAAATCAACTTACTGTTTTTTTTACTTAGCCTCATCCTGACCAAAAATATCCTTGAAATCATGCTAGTTGTATTTCTTTTTACTGTACATCAAAATACATAGACAACTATTAAAATATGTTAAAATCATATATAACATGTTCCATTTACAACTTGCCATTCATGCTTCTAAACATTTTACAAATACTAATTTATTTAATCTTCAAGACAATCCAATGAGGGAGGAAATATTATCATCTTTACCTTACAAATGAGAAAACTGAAGCACAGTGAAGTTAAATAACTTGCCCAAGGTCACACAGCTAGCCAACTTGTCCATATATCCCCAAAGTCATACTGGAAACCCTCAGTGGTCACCATAGTGTACTTATTAATTTAATATTTTAACCTGACTGGGCCACAGGGTGTCCAGATATTTGGTTAAACGTTATTCTGGGTATCTGTGAAGGTATTTCTGGATGAGATTAACATTTGAATTAGTAGACTGAGTAATGCAGATTGCCCTCCCTAATGTAGTTGGGCTTCCTCCAATCAAGTTGAGATCCAAATAGAGGAAAAATGCTGAGTGAGAGGGGACTTCTCTTGCCTGACTGCTTTGAGCTGGGACATCAGTCTTTTCCAGCCTCTGGACTCAAAATGAAACATCAGCTCTTCTTGGGTCTTGAGCCTGCTGGCTTTCAGCCTGAAACTATACCATCAGCAATCCTGGGTCTCCAGCTTGCTAACTAGAGATCTTGGGATTTCTCAGCCTCTATAATCATATGAGCCAATTCCTCGTAATAAATCTCTTTCCATATGTATATGTGTGTATGTGTGTGTGCAAGCATATACATATATGTATGTATGTGTGTATGTGTGTGTGTGTATATATATATCTGTGTGTGTGTGCATATATATATATCTGTGTGTGTGTGTGCGTATTTGGTTCTTTTTCTCTAGAGAACCCTGACTAATACACACAGGATACTCTGGGAAGAATAGTCAGGCCTGCACTAGTTTTGAGGATCCTGTCCGTATTTGTTGAGATTGTTTAAACCCCATAAGGCCCAGAACAGCACCTGCCGCAAGATAGGAGCTGAACTGATCTGCTCTTATATTCCTAACCTTCTGCTATCATGAGATCACATATATGAATTTGCTCTCAGTGCTCTCAAAACATAAGTAAAAGTAAAAGTTAATGTTTGTTTTAATTATAAGGTATATAAGCCAAATAATCTGGTCTGATTCCAAAGCGTAGCACTCAACGATTTTCATCAGAGCCACAAAAAAGGAGGGGATTTACAAAACAAAACATCTTGCAGAGATCTCAGAAAAATTGTGGCAATTATTCAAAATATGTTCAACCACAGGTTTCAGAAACTGAAACTTCCTAATATTTCTAGATTCCATAAAACTAATAATGGAAACTAGAATTTAAGTTTTTCAAAGCTTCTGCACAGCAAAGGAGACAATTAAAACATGAAAAGGCAACTTACAGAATGGGATAAAATATTTCCAAACCACGTATCTGACAAGGGGTTAATATCCAAAATATGTAAGAACTCATACAATTTAATAGAAAAAAAAACTAAATAGTCCAATTAAAAAGTGGGCAAAGGACATAAATAGACATTTTCTCAAAAATGACATACAAACAGTCATCAATTACATAAAAAAAGCTCTCAACATCATTAATCATCATAGAAATGCAAATCAAAATGAAATATCACTTCACACCTGTGATATACATATATATATGTATATATATACACATATGTATACACTTGGATTTTATTGGAAATGTGTGTATATATATATATATATAAGTATATATGTGTATGTGTGTATATATATGCATAATATATATACACATACATATATAAGTATATATGTGTATATATACACATATATACACACATACTTATATATACATATATAATATATATACACATACATATATACACACATATATACATATATACACATACACATATATATACACACATATACACAAACACAATGGAATATTATTCAGCTATAAAAAAGAAGGAAATCTTGTCATTTGTGATAACATGGGTGCAACTTGAGGGCATCATGCTAAGTGAAAAAGTTGGACAGAGAAAGAGAAATACTATATGATCTCACTTATGTGAGGAATCTAAAAAACAATCGAACTTGTAGTTGTGGAGTAGGATGGTGGTTGCTGGGTGCTTAGTGGTGGGAGAAATAGGGTGATGTTGGTCAAATGGTTAAAAACTTTCCATTATAACATGAATAAGTTCTTTGGATCTAATGTACAGCATTGTGTCTATAGGTAATAATAAATGCTGTATTGTATACTTGAAATTTGCTTAGAAAGTAAACCTTAAAGGTTCTCACCATTTTTAAAAATGGTAACTATGTAAGGTAATGGAAGTGTTAACTAACTTGATTGTAATAATCATTTCACAATGTATATGTATATAAAATTATAACATTGTATATCTTAAATATATACAATTTTATTTGTCAATTATACCTCAATGAAGCCAGGAAAAAAATTAAAATTCTCAGTAATCAGAAGGATTTTCCCCTTATATCAAGATATTGCTCTCAATTGAATTTTTTTCACTTTTTAATCCAAAGTTTACTCAACTGTAAAATGTGGATGTTACAATTAGAAGATCTACTAAATTATTTCTAATCCTGACAATTAATGACTCACAAATTCAGATGTTACCTTCTCATGGAGGACCGAGTCAGAAAGTACAAGGATGGCCAAATAATGGCAGAACAAAATGATTAAACTGTGTGAGAGTTTTCAAATACAATCCCACATTAAAAAGAAAATATGTTCTTACCATGGCCACAAGATTCACCCTCAACCTTACTACCTTAATTTTTCCCCATATTATTTTGCACAAAATATTTGTTCTTATAAATGCCTTTGTCCTATGAAAATATGATCAACATCCCTAATTATAAGTAAATGCAAATTGAAACCACAATGAGACATCACCTCACACCCGTTAGAATAACCACTATCAAAAGAACAAAATAACAAAGATTGTTAAGGATGTGGAGAAATTGAAACTCCTGTGTACTGTTGGTGAGAATGTGCAGTTATTATGGAAGATAACATGGAGGTTTCTCAAAAAATTAAAAATAAAATTACCATATGATCCAACAATTCCACTTGTAGGTATCATCCAAAGGAATTCAAAGCAGGATCTTTAGAGGTAGTTGCATATCTATGTTCATCGCAGCATTATTCACAGAGCCAAGAGGTGGAAGCCACCCAAATGTTCATCAACAGATTAATGAGTAAAGAAAATGTGGAGTATATTCACAATGGAATATTACTCAGCCTTTAAAAATAAGGAAATTCTATCCCATGCCTCATCATGGGTGAACTTCAAGTTATGCCAAGTGAAATAAGCCAGTTGCAGAAGGATAAATATTGTAGGAGTCTAACCATATGAAGTATCTTAAGCGTCAAAACCATAGAAACAGAAAGTAGAAATGTGGTTGCCAAGGGCTAGGGGGTTGGAGAGGCAAAAATTAATGTTTAGTTGGTATAGAGTTTCAGTTTTGCAAGACAAAAAGTTCTAGAACTGTGTTGCACAATGATGTGAATGTACTTAATGCTATTGAACTATATACTTAAAAATGGCTAATATGGTAAATTTAATGCTATATAATGTTTTACCACAATAAAGAAAAACCTATGGTCTAATATTAGAAAGAAATTGTGTAATGAAGTAAACCATCTCAAGAAAGCAGCTGCATGCCTATTGTGGAAATGACAAGCACAGGCACATGTTATCTCACTTGAGGGTAAGATACTCTGCAACCTCTAACTTAGTGAACAGATTGCGCCTGATTCACAGACCGAGACAAATTCTTCCTTTAACTCAATAGCAAACTCAAATGCCTCCCTCTGCCTGCAACAGGGCATACCACCACCTGGCATTCTTTGTTTCCCAGATAGTCATGGTGTCCTTTAGCCCTTTTCATTATTCACTTAACATCAAAACAAAATGCAGCTAATAATATTAGTCTATTTTTCTGGTCTTGGAGAAGTAGCATCTGAATTTAGGCCCTGTGCCCAGATTTCCCACTCTGTTGGCACTGTAGTCTAGGGAAGTCTTTCAAGTTTTTGTTAAGCCTTCAGCCAGGTGAGAGGTACATGTTAGTTTTATTTTATTTTTTTTAAAGGGAAAAAAAAAACAGAACGTCCCAGTCAAAGGGCACCAAACTAAATTGTCATGGGAAAATTGGCCAAATGATATATTTAGTCAATGCTTTGCAGTTTACCTCTCATAAGCCTTCAGGGGCTTTTATATATGCTTTATATATATGCTTTATATACACTCTATTATAGCCTGGAGGTCATACAATGTGCTATGTTTTACTCTAAAATTCACTCTCAAACTCATTCTCTCTCTCTTCTCTCTTCCACTTCCTCTTTCTTTCTCTCTCTCAACTTGATCCAGATTTTCCCAGGGTTCAAGTTATTTTCTAAATGAAACAAAAGCCCTTTTACAAGGTACATTCAAGCTGCTCAGATTACTTTGTTCTAGTCCAGCAGTTACAATTTCAGGTAGAGATGTGCCTTGTTTTATGAGAAAGATTTGTTCCTTAAAAGTTACTGTGTGACCACCATATCAGTGAGATCAGTGTGTCCCTCCATGAATGCTTCTGCTAATTTGTTTCATGAAATGTCTTTTTTTCTCATGTACTCTCCCTCTCTAAGCTTTCCTAAGAATTAAAAAAATAGCAAGCTTACCAACCCTTTGGCTAGTGCACTGAATATAAGATTATTGGGAGAATAAGGAGAGTAATTTAATTCATGGATGTGGTGGCTTATATGAAATCAACTTAGCTAAGCTGGAAATACATCTCCCGAAATTCCCTTCTCTGCATGGTTGTCTATCAGAGTTGCCCACAAGAAAATGTGCACATGTGAAGGTGGAAGTGAAGCAGCAGCATGTTTAAAATGAGATGGAGGTGTAGAAGCAGGTGCTGTTGCATTCTGCCCATAGTCACTGATCTTGTGGCTCACTTTGTCCATCAGGGCAGCTGCAAGCACGTAGTTCCTCCACCTCCTACTGGATCTTCTCTTTAGCTTCTCTGAATCCTGGGCCAAGTTTGTGAACAGCTTTGGGGTGAAATGAGTCAGCCATTCTGCAAATCCCAACATTGTTGGAGTTGGAGGGTTTGGAGGCATTGAGAGACTGATGTGGGTTCCAATTTATCCTTTCTCTCCCCCACTTCATATTGATCTTCCTTTCCAGACTGCTGGCCTTGCTGACTTCAGGCCCAGCACTAGACACAGGAGCAACAGACTTACCTATACACTCACCAAGGTCCCACAATTGCGTGAGATCTCATCCCTATAATAAATATTTTATATCACTTATATGGTTCTGCTTCTCTGATTGAATTCTAACTCCTTGGAAGTCAGAAAATGACATGCAAGACTGAAATTCTTTGATTTGACCAAATCCTACTTGTAATGGCTTTCACTTCACTGTATGGCTGAAGAGGAGAGTAGTGGCATCCAGACTTGACTTCTCACCTTCTCTGGAGCCTCACTGTGAGCAGAGACCAGGAGGACAACTTCTGGCCTCCCTCAGGGGTCTCTCTTCACAGTCTTACCCTTAACCCTGTCTCTACTCTGCTGTCTCCCTGTATTTACCACTGTCCAGCCATGAGCCTGCTGGTTCATGTGTGTTTAGAGCCACTTCATATCTAAAATCAGATCTGTGTATATCAAATCATATTTTTTTATTGCAAACATATAGTTTTTCCTTTCTCATTAAATTATTAATTAACAGTGGACTCTGAAAACTTCAGCTCTAAGAATTGCTCCTTTATGGGCTGGGCACGGTGGCTCACACCTATAATACCAGCACTTTGGGAGGCCGAAGTGGGCGGATCACCTGAGGTCGGGAGTTCAAGACCAGCCTGGCCAACATGGAGAAACACAATCTCTAGTAAAAATACAAAATTAGCCAGGTGTGGTGGTGCATGCCTGTAGTCCCAGCTACTTGGGAGGCTGAGGCAAGAGAATTGCTTGAACCCAGGAGGCGGAGGTTGCGGTGAGCCGAGATTGCACCATTGCACTCCAGCCCGGGCAACAAGAGTGAAACTCTGTCTCAAAAAAAAAAAAAAAAAGAATTGCTCCTTTATGGTGCAGAGGAAAGAACACTGGGCTATGAAGTCAACTTCAACTCTGATCAATCAGTATGACCTTTGGGCAAGCCCCTGAATCTCTCTGGATCCTCCAGCCTTCAGCTGCAGAGAGAAGAAGCTGGAGTTGATGATCTCTAAAGACTCCTCCAACTTCAAACATTCCATTCTAAATAAATGAGATGCTTTATCTTTAAAGAAGTTGGAAGTAAATATTTCCAGAAGCAAATACTTAGACTCTTATGCATATTCAAAGACATACCAAACATAGACACAGCTGTATGAAAGTATGTTCTGGAATGAAGCTTAGAGCACATTTAATATTCAGTCATTGTTACTAAATTAACCCTAAGTCTTAGCACACTTATTTATATAGTTTCTGATCCTTTATTTTTGTTTTGATAATCTTTTTAGATGTATACTGCCTCAATCCCACTTGGAAGTAAGCGAAATATATACCATAAGGAAATAATTAAAATATTCTAGCAGCTCTGCAGGAAAACTACCTCAATTTAAAACTCCTTCATGATATCACCTAGGAATAGCAAATTAATGTATTATATTAATGTTGCTGAAAGCAATTCAGCTCTCAAAGGGCCCGGATTTACTTCTAGGAAGTGAATTTGGCTCCAGAAAAAAAAAAACTAAGCATATTTTTTGTCAATTTGACCAAGCTCCCATGGACTGAAATAGTTTTAATCTTTTCCTTATAGGAAAACTCCCTTATTTATCTGGGTCCTCTACCCTACCTGAGCTAAAGAATACCTAAGCCCAGTCCCTCATTTTGTGTAAGGGGCCTGAGACATTAATGTCTGTCTACTCCCTACTATAAGAACCAGGTCCGTATGTTTCATTATCACCAGTCTCTATGCCCAGGGACTGCCAGATCCCTGCTCCAGAACCAAATCCAGGATCCAGAGCTCTGCTTCCTATGAACAAGTGAGCCAGGTACTAGCTTCCTCTCTTCTCAAATCTCCTAGCATTACCTATGGGTCCATTTCTCAAGGACAAGGAAGAGTAACTCAGAGCCTAGAGGGCAGAGATAAGAACCATGGGAGATCATTCTCAGATAATAAGTATAAGAGCAAAGTAAGCCCTAATAAAGGAATTAGCCACATGTGCCTTGGAGATTTCAGAATTGCTGTGAACCAGTGGCTGCTGTGTGCCTCCTACTTTCTCACTTTCTGAATGGGAGTATCTACTGCAGTTATCCTATTCCTGTTCCACCACTGTAGGACAGATCATCAGTCTCTTTAATTTACAGGTTTTCAGATTGAGAAGGATGGTACTCAGGAAGATGGACTTGAGGAACCACACTGCAGGAGCCTCAATTGCATGTGGACCTCGAGTCTGAGCCTGATTTAATAATGGAATGAGATTGTTCTAGAATCTTTGGTGGAGTGAATATATGTTGCATTTGGGAGGAAAGTAAACAATTGTGGTCATAGGACAGATTGTGTTTTAACATATGGCCCCAAATTTCTTTAATGTTTTTCTCATTGAAAAGTAATGTCCATGTTTCCTCCATTTGATTCTGGCCAGCGGCTTAGGACTTCTACACCAACAGGCTATGGCAAAAGTAATGCTGTGTGACTTCTGAGGCTAGGTCTGAAAAGGACGTGCAGCTTCTACCTCCTTCTCCTGGGATCCTAGCTCTTGGATCCCAGCCACCATGCTATGAGGAAGTCCAAGCTGCCACATGGAAAATCTGAACACCTGAGGCTGATGTCCCACTATCACCAGTCTCTATGTAGGTATTCAGACCAACAGCCCCAACTAAGGTCCAACAAGATGTGTGAGTGAACAAGTCTTTAGATCTTTCCAGCCCTAGCTGGAACTATCTGCCTGTATTTACCATCATTGCTGTACCTGTTGGGGGATTCTCCCATCTCATGCCTCAACCAGGATGAGAGATTGCAGTGCCCTTGGGTCCTGTTCCTTTTCTGTCTTGCTGACTATGCCTCACCACCATCAAACACACTAGGCTACACCCAAACCCTGTCCTTCCTCTCACCTGCTTTGATTTGCTATGATAAACTGCACTGCCTTATAGCTGAATCTCAAAATAGTACAAACACAGTGGTGCACAACATGACTATAATTAGGCAGTAAATAAGGAGAATGAAGTCATAGTCTAATACTTGACACTTGGCAATATAATCTGTTGAGATGAGCCTGAGACGTCTGATTTTTTTTTTTTTTTTGGCACCTAAATCTAAGCAAATTGCACTATGTCTCCATCTCCACATTGGTATAGTACAAGGACCAACGATCAATAGATGACAAGCTTTTACAAATCTCCAGCTTCACTTGGTAGAACCCCAAACCAGATACAATTGCCTCAGACCCCTCTGTAGGCAATCCAGGATTCCCTATCAGGAGGGAAGTGCAGCCAGCAACAACTTCCTGGTCAGTAGCTACCACTCCTCCCACACACTCAGTCTCCTTTGGACCTGAGATCTCAAGCCTTCAAAGAAGTGAGATGTTCTCCTTCTCCCAAAATGCCATCTGGCACACAGCCCCTAAGCCTCTGCTCTCTACTTCCTTCTGCCAGGCAATGCCATCAACGCTTTTCTTACTGAAAGGCCATGTGTTACACAGTACTACAATAATCCTCAAGATACTGAAAGTAATGCCAAGTGAAAGACCAAGGGGGTGGGTGGAGGGCTAATGGGCTGGACGAAATAGCCACTTGATTGCTAGTTCATACAAGATGTGGCAGCAACTCCTTTTCTGGCTGGAGATCTTGGATGTCACATCTTAGAATCAGGTGGCAAAGCATCTGTGAAGGGCAATGTGGCATCCCAGACAGTGGGTGGTGAGATCAGGAAGAAAAAATGGAAATCAACAGATGGTGGATCCTACAGCTGAGAACTGATTCTTCAATTTGACATGGTTGGCATAAACATTTTAAATGGAGCTTGGTAAAGATCAGGTTATTTTACCATTGACCAAGCTCTTGGCTTCTAAAAGGTCCTAAATTTTTGTTTCCTTTGCTTTCACGAGTGTTTATTTGCTTTCCAGGAACTTCAGGGAAAAAGGTTAAGTAATGGAGGGAGGAAAGAGGGAGGGGTTGGCAGATCAAACACAGGACTTAAAAGTCCTAGATCTAAACCTTGAAATCCCCAGATATTTTATGTTATAAAAAGATGTCCCACTTTCAGAATCCAGTTCTGTAAATAGTTTTCAGAAGTCGGGGGACTTGCAAAGATTTAATTTGCCTGACAAAAATTTTCATTGGCATTTTCTATATTTCCTAGCGCCACCCTCTATGATTTTTAATCCCTAAACATCTAAATTAATGTGGACATCTGCTTCTAGCAAATATAGTCAGAGCTGCCCTGCCACTGCCAATTTGCAATCATAAAACCATAGGAATAAAGGAAGAAGAAGTTAAACAGAACAACTCAGCCCAGCTTCCCGGAACTGGGGCCCTTTGTAACTTGCTCCCCTCCTCCTACCCCGTATCCTGCCCCCTCTCACCATGTCCCAATCTAATGTCATAATTCAACTGCCAAATATGCATAATAGGAAACATAAACCACAATCCTATTTGTTCTGTAATCATTCAAACATCACCAAGTTTTTGTCAGGACAGAAAATGAAAACTATGTGAATAAATACTGCATTCAAAGAACCTGTACACCGCCAGCCATTTAAGCCACAAGCTTATAATGAGGAGAATCTCACACTTTCTCGAAAGGGTGGCACTTTGCTCCTGGCCTGATGGTCATTATGTCTCCCGGACTTGGCTCCAGCTCCAGGCCAGCACTGTCCAGTGGAAATGGAATGTGGACTATGAATGCAAGCTACCTATGCCATTTTAAATTTCCTAGTAGCCACAGTCAAAGAGGAAAAAGAAACAGACTACATTAATCTTAATAATACTTTTTGGTTTTTTGTTTTTTTCAATTTGAGAGCAGGTACTGTTTATTAACTGGCTAGATTACAAAAAATAATTGTGGTAGGCATGTTTATTCTTCTAATAAGCCTGTTGATCTGGTCTTCCCTGTTGTCAGCATCTCCACCTTCTACAAAATTGGTGGTCTTTTTCTTCATTCTAACTTGTCGAGAGGATAATTTGAAGGGCCACAGGAAGTTATTTGCTTCTTTAAGCATTTTCCAACAGTATAGATCTCATGAATCAGATCCTCCATGCAGATGAGGCCATATTTACCAAGAGATCGAGCAATCAAAGTATTATCTGTTGGAGCAAGTAGCTTCTTATTCATTTTGCTATAACCACATTTGTAGATTAGTTTATTTACTGACTTCAGATTTGGGTATGCCCATGCAATATATGGTTCTACAAACCTCAGCACATTATTGAAGCCCTGCTGAGCTTCACAAAGTTTCTATTGAAGATTTGATGAAGGCAAAGAAGTTGCAACACCTTTCAGACCTTTGGGCTCACCCAATTGATAACCTCCGATCCTGATGACAAACGCCAATTTGGGTTCTGCAGATACATAGAAGTTGCCAGCTTTTCTTGCCATCCTCGATATTTGAATTTCAGTTCTGTACATCTGCATATATTCCTTGTGATAGTGCTTTGCTTTTTCATAGATAAGCTTCCTCCTTGCCTTTAGAAGCATCTTTTGGGCAAACTTATTTCTCAGGCGCTTGATCTTCAGCTCTGTGAAATTCCTTCACTTTTTCTTAAGGGTTTCTGGCACAGCAGGAACCTTCTTCTTCTCTTCAACACCCTCCATGGTTCCAGCCGGAAAAGAGAGTTAACAATACTTTTTAACCCGGTACATCCAAAATCATTTCAGCATATAACCTATTTGTAAAAAAACATCGAGACATCTTATAGTCTCTTTCACACAAATTCTTCAAAACCCAGTATTTACACAATTCAGACTAGTCCCATTTTAGGTCCTCAGTAGGTGGCTAGTGACTAGCTTAATAGATAGCACAGGTGTATGCAGATAAGGCTGTCCTTATTTATATGGAAAAGTATATTCCTTTCTAAAAGAAAATGCCCCTCCTGAGTTAGGCAACTGGAAATGGTAATTCCTTTTCCTTAAAGTAAGCTTACCAGATAAAACACAAAACACCTACTTGAATTTGAATTTCAGATAAATAACAAATTATTTTTAGTATGACTATGTCCTAGTATTGCATGGAACATACTTATGCTATAAAAATTACTCAATGTTTATCTGAAATTCAAATATAACTGGGCTTCCTGTATTTTTATTTGGTAAATCTAGCAACCTCACCTGAATTCAACTCAAGTAAGAAATGGAGGGGGAGGAATAAAATATGGCAGCTGCTGAAGGCAGCAGCAGATGATGGTGCACCAGGAAGTCAGAGGCAGGCCTGCCACGAGAGCCACTGTAAGAACCACCATCATTAAGGTTGAGTAATGGAAGCACCTGCCAGGAAGGCACACAGGCTGAGCAGCAGGTGTCACTGCCTCTCTGGAGCCTCTGCCTGTGCGCCTTGTTTTCTCTTTCTCTTTCCATGAATTTTACAAAGATATCTGCACATCCTGTAAGTATACACATTTTGCAAGACCTTGGTGTTAACATGGCATCTGCAGCTTTACAATTTGCTATGGATTTTCCATGCTAATAAAAATAAAATTTTTTAGGGGCCGGGCGCGGTGGCTCACGCCTGTAATCCCAGCACTTTGGGAGGCCAAGGTGGGCAGATCATGAGGTCAGGAGTTTGAGACCAGCCTGGCCAACATGGTCAAACCCCATCTCTACTAAAAAATTACAAAAATTAGCCAGGTGTGGTGGCACATGCCTGTAATCCCAGCTACTCGGGAGGCTGAAGCAGGCGAATTGCTTGAACCCAGGAGGCGGAGGTTGCAGTGAGCCAAGATGGCACCACTGCACTCCAGCCTGGGCAACAGAGCGAGACTCTGTCTCAAAAAAAAAAAAAGAAAAGAAAAGGAAAAAACATATATATTAATAAGAGCTCATGCCATGGGTGAAGAGATAGAAGTATTGAGTTTTGTCTATGCACTAGGTATTCTTTTGTGTGCTCCAAGTGAGAGGCGGGAGGCATGCCCAAAACATTTTCCTCAAATTCCTAAAAATTCCAAAACAGTAACCTGGTTAGAGCTAAGGGGCATAAGGATTACAGAACTTTTGAGAAAATGTTTTCTTCAGATGGCTAATGCTCTTGGCTAAGATCCAGACAGTCTGATGCAGTAGGTCAGGGGTGGGGCCTGAGAATTTGCCAATTTTAACAGTTTCCCAGGTGATGTTAATACTGCCGGTCCAGGAAACACGCTTTGAAAACCACTGTTTTAGATTATGAGAGTGTTTCCATGGGAATATAAATAGCACTTGTTGAGACTTTTTGTTTTGTTCTATAGTTAGATTTTCCTCAAACTGAAAACTCAGAGAAGATAAACTGCTTCAGCAGTGATCCTGTGGGCCAGTGGCTTCCTTCTCATCAGCCCTGAATTTCCCCAGTCTATCCATCTGCCTCAGCCTCCAGCCAATCCTATGCTGGGTCATGGGAGGGTGACCCTAGCCAAACCTCAAGGCTACCATCACCCAGAAAGTTTTTTGTCTAGCCAGCTCAGTGGTAGTTAGGAGACCCACTTGGTAGCAAGGTCTTTGGGTCCCCAGAATGACTAGGTAGTTACTTTCCTGTCCAGGAGGAGGGAGCTCAGACATATTGGTCCCAGGCAAATGAGGAAGATGGAACTTTGTATCAGGGCAATAACAATAAGCCGCCACGAGATTTTCAGCATTTACCAAAGGCACTCTTCTGTTTAACATTTTCTGACTCAATACCTTATCTCTAGGCACCTTCCATCAGCCTTCCTTTCCAGCAGGCTTCTGGGAGGGCACATTGTTCTCCTCCCTCTTTTATGGATTTCCTTCCTTAGAGTTCTCTCCAAGACTTCCCGTTCCCCAGGCCCCCCTTGCCTATGCCATCCATCCAATAAGGACCAAACACTACCCATTTAAGGACTTTATGACTAAATTAGAGTTATAAAGAATGCCCACATCAAACATAAGGAAGCCCTAGAGGTTCAAAACACCTTACCACATTCTCCTAGACTTTGTCTCTCTTCTACTCCAAGAAGCCCAGTTACCCTTTCTCCTCTCTTTTATCCCCAAGGATACAGAACATCAACCACATCAGCCATCTTGTGCCCTGCGTGCTGAGAGGAGCTTTTCTTCCATGAAGATCCCTTGATGCAGAGCCCTTCATTTTGGTAAGAAAGAAAGTTTAGGGCAGATCAATAATGGTGACCTAGGAGGATATTGAGCTTCCCCTTTATCTCGAGTGAGAAACATTCCTCAGAGGAACTTAAAAAGGATCTTTGAGAACTAATAGAGAGGCAGCATGCTGGCTACAACAAAGACCTGATTTTCACTAAGTGTCTGCTTAGAATTTCACCCAGAGCTGTGGCTAGACAAACCCTAGCCTTGTCCCCAATTTATAGAAATAAACAAATTATTGTTAATAAACCTATGTTGCAAATTAAATAAATCTTAAAGTGCAAGCAATTATTTCCCTCTTACTATTCTTAATGGGGTCAGCTCATTTCCACGTGTAATAGCCAATGTCTGGAATCCATTTACCATTTGCTTTAGATGAAAATTTCTCTGGAAATCAAAACTAATATTCACTTTGTATATTCCTTCTCTTCTTTTGGAAGGGAAGTGACCAGGAAGTCTTCATGTGTCCTGACTTCTTCTTTCCCATTTCATTGTTCTAATAAACTAGTATTTCTCCTACTGTGGTCAGTGGGGCCACTTTCATAAGAAATACCTGGGATGGTTGTTAAAAATGCAAATTATTGGCCTCATCCCAAACATACTCGAGTGGAGTGGGGACTTGCCCAGAAAATCTCTTCTAACAGCTCCTTAGGTAATTCTTATGTTCACTAAATTTTGAGAGCCACTGCAATAAGTACTGTTTATATTTACCCTACAAGTGTTTTAAAGGCACCAATGTCCCTAGAAGCCAGGGGTTTGACAAAACTACCCCCACTCTGGAGCTCCAGTTACTCTGCTGCTTTAATTATGGCCAAAAGCACAAATGTTATTCTAGGTGGGACTCAACATTGGGTCAAATAATGCTTCTTTGTTTTTTCCTGCTATACTTTGCCCTTTATTATTTCTTCCCTACTTCCCTGTCTTAGCATGCCATTATCCCCAATTCATTTCATACTTATTATTCATAATTCAATCTTCATACAATGACTTCTATGATTCTATGACACTGTGATTCTATGACATTAACTCAGCTGACATTTCTAATCCTGACAACCTAACTCATCCTCCAGGTTAACAACATCAGTGCTTGCAGTAAAGCTCACCCCTTTTCCTTAAGCCTGGAAACCACCTTGTTTATTCCTTTTTACAGTAGGCTGAGCTAAATTGATCCTTGTGAGTAAATCACCCTAGGTCTTCATTTCTCCAATTACATTGCCATATTGCCCTTTCCCACACAAACTTGAAATACCAAGTTCCACCTTCAAGGTAGAGATAGCTTATTAAGCCCTCCTTTGTACTGGCCACATACTATAAACACATTTCAATTATTATAACTATCTCACTGCAATGTAATATTTGTTTACCTCTTTGTTTCCCCTACTAGATCTAAACTACTCCTAGGCAGGCATTCAATTAATTACTCTGCTGTCTCCAATATTTAGCCTAGTATCTGGCACAAAGTGGGCATTTAATATTAACATTGAGCTATACTACTCTCAAACTTTTATGGGCAAAGATGCTATGTCATTTAATGCTGCCCCATAAAATGCTGACTTCTTATGCCACTATTTATTCTCATAAATATTATGACTATATATATGTAATACATGCAATAATGTTTACTATATACAGTGCATCTGAGCAATGAATTTAATATATGTTTTTCTTATGGCCAGACTGCTGGTAGTCTAAAGCAACACTGTCTCCTAGAGTTCTCATTAATGATGGTAATATTCTATGTCTACACTGTCCAGTATGGTAGCCACTACTTACATAGAGCTAATGAGCTCTTAAAATGTGTCTGAGGAAGTGAATTTTTAATATTATTTTATTTTGATTGATATCACTGTAAACAGCCACATGTGGCTATAATATTTTAATGCTGTCATCCAGAAAGTACTAATGAACTCAACTGTGCTTCCTTCACTGTGGACAGAGCCTGGAAATCTAGTGTTTGCTCAGCAGTGGTATTCCCGGAGAGGCAGCAGATGGGAACAGTCAGCTGAGGTACAGAGAAGAATTTTATCACTGACATCATTTAGAATTGCTGGTGCTCAGTGATAACAAAGCAGACAAATTTTTTGTCTTATTACTGTTTTTAAGCTGTTTACAATGTGCCCACTCATTGCCTGCACCCACAGGGGACTGCTCCCACCAATACCACCCTTGTTACACCACTATCTTTGGTCACTTTGTCTCTTCCTGCCCTCATGCCATGTTCCACTGAAGGTTTTTGACTCATGATGGATAACAAAAAGTTTGCAAGTAATTGTGCTGAAAGTGATTCAAAAGTGGCGAGGAAGATTATCACACTGAGTATTAAAACACAACTTTTAAAGCAGCTCAAGATGCCTTCAAAGAAACGGCAGGGAAAACAGGGTGCCTGTCAAAAGTAGTCAGGGCATTACCACTGCAGCTTGGGAAGAATGACCAAAATTGAGGGAATCATAGCCTAAAAAACTTTGGCCTGAGGCATCTCCTAACATTAGGAGATTTTAAAAGAATTCAAGGGCCAGACGTGGTGGCTCACACCTGTAATCCTAGCACTTTGGGAGGCCAAGGCAGGCAGATCACAAGGTCAGGAGTTCAAGACCAGCCTGGCCAAGATGGTGAAAACCTGTCTCTACTAAAAATACAAAAAAATTAGCTGGACATGGTGGCACATGCCTGTAATCCCAGCTACTCAGCAGGCTGAGGTAGGAGAATTGCTTGAACCCGGGAGGCGGAGGTTGCAGTGAGCCAACTCCAACTCCAGCCTGGGCAACAGAGTGAGACTCCATCTCAAAAAAAAAAAAAAGAAGAATTCAGGGTAGTTACAAGATCAATTACAGAAAAGCGCCTTCAGAGAGGTTATGTTCTGCTAACACCACCTCTTGCTCATTTTGCTCATTTGGTTGGTCTCCCAGTTCCAGGAAATCATCCCATGCCTAAACAAGGAATGCCTATACTTCTCTATCAACCAGCTACCTAAACCCTGAACACCGATCTGGAAATGATAAACTATAATAAATCCAATGTATAGAAGCAATGGATATTGCCGGCTGGGTGGAAATTCAGTAGTAATATGGGTCTCATCTTCTATAGCAGCCTGTGTGCTTACAAATTGGCCTAGAACATAAGGCACTTTTTAATGTATAAGTCTATTTGTTCCCATGCAAATAAATTCATTATATATTTAAGGGAGAAAAGCTTACAATATATCATGTGCAATATAATCCTGATGTGTATGTGTGTATGTATGTGTGGTAGCCACTAACTACATAGTGTATCTGTATATGTGGTACACATGGCACGTGTGTGAATATGTACTGTCTATACATAATCAGTGAACAAGATACAGAGGGTGGTAGAGAATGTAACCAAAAAGTAGCAGTCAGTATGTCCATATAGTAAAATAACAAGTAGTTTGTTCCCAAATTCTATAATAAATGCAATCAAATAAGAAATGTTCTTGAAAAGCATAGAGCAAATAAGAAAAATTGTTATTTTTAAATGTCAGTATATTCAAATCTGTTCGTTATCAAATATATCTTGTAGGTTACCACCTTATCTGACAGCTCTCAAATTCTCAGATTTAGGTACTAGTGTTTTGTTTGTCTGGCGTGATTTGGTTTCATTTGTAGAATTCACTCATATCTATCTGCCATGTACAGCTAAAAGTTGTTTGCCTTGGCCAGTATAAGGATTTATGCTCACTTTTATCCTAAACAGCTTTTGGTCAATAATCGTTTGCCTAATCATGTCAGTAAAGCCGTGGATTGGGTGCATTTCCTCTTTACACAACTGCTCAGGAATATTGCATTTTATTTAGGATGATCTGAAACCATGGTTCTCAAACCTTTTTGAATTCAAGGACAAGACAAACTCTCCATAGACACCTGCCTCATCTATTTCTGCTCATCACTTTTAGAAACTGGACACTTGGCATTGCTTTCAGGTAGACACCAATAAGGTAAAAAGTTTTAAGAAACCATGTATCAAATTGCATTATAATTTTATCCACCAAACCAAAACATAGATACTGTCATAATACTAAATGCGATAGAGAGCTGCCTAAGATGGCCAGCTCAATGAATCTTGGGCATCACCCACACACCACTGAAAATTCTGCTACTCTGGAGAGGGCCTGTGTTACAGGAGGGATGGATGGTAAGACCAGATACAGCCTATGCAGTAAATTGAGATCTAATGCAAACAAAAACAGACCTTTGAATTTTAAATTAGATATAAAGTTGTTTCACCATATGAGCAATTCTAAGGCAATTAGAAACGGAGGCTGCCTGGTCGGATGGTTGGACTCGCAGAACAAAATAACCTCGACAAACTAGAGCACTGAATGAGATAATCCTGGACATCTGGGTTGCGCTGCCAGCTCCTCCACTGATTGGCTGTTTGCTTTGGGCAAGCTAGTCTCTGTCTGCGCCTTCGCTTCCTTAGCTAAAATGTAGCCATTACTGCCTAACTTTCAGATTTGTTGTGAATATCAAATGAGTGTACGTGAAAGTAGATATATAAGTTATTATGTTCAATGTTTATATTTCTTCGTTCATTCTCACAGAATTTGGGAAGGGAGGACAATTGAACAGGTATGCTCTGTCAGCCATCTTGAACAGGCAGATTCATTGTTAATATTATTATCGACAGGTAAGAAAAAATTTTGTGAAAAATGAGAGCTACCTATTCAGGCTTTTCCCAAGATGTAAATTATAGCTTGAGAGTCTTTTGAATCACCTACTGATTTGCCACTGCTGATCTGCTCTAAGTGAGCCTTCTAAACGCAGTAAGGAATTGACTCTAGACATCTTCCTAAAGGAAGAGATCAGGGGAAGATGGGGTGATGGACAAATGGAGCAAATGAAGGGAGGGGGAAACTGAGGAACAGCTTATCTGCAGGATAAAAGTAGAAGATAACAAGGCTCGGGGCTCCTGAAGAGCCAGCCAAGAAGGGCAACCCAGACAACAGAGAAGGAAATCAGGACAAAAATGTCTTACTACTTTAGTATTTGGGTTAGCCCTTGTCTATTTCCCTGGAGAAATGAGCAGTACAAACCTTCAGTTTCTACTGAAATAAATATAACTGAATTTAAATGTTTAGGTTTAAAACCTTAATTTACTACTAAAATAAAAGCAATGACAAAAATCTTTGTTCTCAAAGCAGCAGAGACCTGAGGGGTGCTGTTCAGCTCCACCAAGAGGAAGTCAGAGACAAGAAGTGTCTCCTGGCATGCAGAAAGGGGTAAACAGGACACCAGCATGCAGTGTGGGAGAGAAAAGAGTGTGAGAGTAATCCAGATTCAAATCCAGACCGTGCCACTTCCACATTATGAGATCTGGGGGTAGATACTGAAATAATCCAAGTCTTCACTCTATCACTGGCAAAAAAAAAAAAAAAAAGCGGGGGGTGGGTAACGATGATAACACTGTTATGGGCTGAATTGTGTCCCCCCAAAAGTTCTTGTATTAAGGCCCTAACCCTCAGTACCTCTGAATGTGGCCTTTAAAGAGGTAATTAAGATGAAATGAGATCACTGAGGTGGGCCCTAATCTAATAGGACTGGTGTCCTTATAAGAAAAAGAGATTAGAACACAGAAACACATAGAGGGAAGACCATGTGAAGACAGATGGGGAAAATGGCCATTTACAAGCCATGGAGAAAGGACTTCAGAAGAAACCAATCCCGCCGATAGCTTGATCTTGAACTTCCAGCCTCCAGAACTGTGAAGAAATAAATTTCTGTTGCCAAAGCCACCCAGTCTGTGGTACTTTGTTATGGCAGACCCAGCACTTTAATATCAATACCAATGTTACAGAGTGTTTGTGAGGATTAAATGAGAAAATATTAAAAAGCAAGAGAAAATAGACACTAAGTGGTTATCTTTCCATCCCTTTCCTGGTTAAAATGGTGCTCAATCTGCAAGTTGGCTATTTGGCCAGAAGAGGGTCAAATCAACAAGGGACCATGAGACAACAAAAGTTCAACCCATGAGGCTCTGAACTCTAAAATCTATCATTGTTACAGATTCTGAGTAACCTAAGAAACACATTAGTGCAGAAACGATTTCATAAAAATATTATTTCCTACTTTCAGAAGTTATAATAGAATTTTTGTGACCCTCCAAACTGCTGGTTTTCTAAGGTCTCTCAAAAAAAAAGCTTATATATGCTATTTGTTTCTATAGATGACTACCTGACTGAGACATAAAAAAGTTCATATTTCTTTTTTTTTTTTTGAGACAAAGTCTTGCTCTGTTGCCCAGGCTGGAGTACAGTGGCGCGATCTCAGCTCACTGCAACCTCTGCCTCCCAGGTTCAAGTGATTCTCCTGCCTCAGCCTCCTGAGTAGCTGGGATTACAGACACACACCACCACACCTGGCTAATTTTTGTATTTTTAGTAGAGACAGGGTTTCACCATGTTGGGCAGGCTGGTCTCGAACTCCTGACCTCATGATCTGCCCCCACCTCGGCCTCCCAAAGTGCTGGGATTACAGGCGTGAGCCACCACACCTGGCTGAAAAGTTCATATTTCATACCTATACCCAACTCTGTGACTCCAAAAGTAGAAGCAAGCCCATCAACTGCCCACTGTTTGGTCCTTCGAAGTAACTGAGTAGCCAAGAGTCTCACTTCTTAGTTACTGTGCATCGTACTTAACGATTCAGCAGGTTTTCCTCTCCTAAAGGCCAGTTCCCATAGACGTCCAATAGATGGCACTAGGTGGCTACAAGAAATAAAGTTTCTTTAAGGAAAAAAAAGAAACAAAAAACAAAAACTTTGTACTATAGAAATTTTCATACAAATAACAAAACTAGAGAGAATATAATGAACTTCCATGTACCCATCAGCCAGTATCAGCAGTTATCAACAAGTGGCCAATCATGTTTACTTATCCTGCCCACTAGATTATTTTGAATCAAATCTCAGACATCTTAATGTCATCTATACATAATTTTTAATAATTTGATAAAAAGTAAGGGCAAGATGAGCACCTTGATCAGGCTATAATCTGTCAAAATTTTTATTTGTTTTTTTAAGTCTTGAAAGTTTAATTCACAAATAATTTTTTTAATGAGCAATTTATAGTGCTTCATTTCAGTGGCTCTTAAAGTACTGCAATTCATTATTTTTTCTTCCTCACCAAACACCCCCTTTTAACTCCCAGCCCTTGTTTCTTCCACCTCTACCATTTTCATATCCTCAGGCTCCTTAAGCGATCATAAAATAAAAACTTTACTTTTTTTTTTAACTGATTTTGTTTAGGCAACTTACAGTTTTGTCAAAGTTTTATTACATATAGTTTTCCTGTTGTTTATAATGAGGAGCGTTAAGAAACAGGTCAGTGAAACAATTATATTTCCAACTAAACTATAGATTTTGTTCATGGGAAGTTTTTAGGTGAGTCTTGTGTTTAAAAACAACAATAATGATAATTTTTCATCCTAAGGGCATTATGATGTACTCTCCATAATTAACTGGGTTCTGACTCAATTTCACATTCACCACAAACCCTGACCACACATTCAGGCTAGAGAAGCAGGGGCTATAAAACAGCAGACCTCAAAGAGCAGCATGGGGTGGGAAGAAACTGGACTTGGAGAAGATATGACTTGGGCCCTTGATCTGACCACCTATCACTACAGGACCTGGGACAAGTCACTTAGCCTCTCTATGCCTCAGTTTCCTCTTCTGCACTAAGGGAATAATAATACCTACTCAACTTATCTAACACAGTTATAGTAGAGATGGAGGGAGATGATTGTGAAAGCGCATTTCCATTCATAACATGCTGCACGCCCTCATGAAGTTAGGCAACATGGTGATGCAGAGCAGGGGTTCAGGTGTCAGACAGATCTGGATGTGAATCCTAGTGATGCGTGATCTTGGACATGTGGCTTTACCTTTATGAACCTGTTTCAAAACCTATAAAATAAGTATAATTACAGAACACGTGTCATGGAGTTATTTTACAGATTAAAAAACACCTGTAGGTAAAGCACTTAGCAGAGGGCTTGATGTATTTCTAGGATAAAGAACCTCAGAATTACAGAAGCCAAATGGACTTTGGAGAATGTTTCTTAAGAGAACCCTTTAGGGCTGCTCATTCAAGCTTATCTCTGTTTCCTGGCATCAAACTCACCCCCGAGCTTCCTTAAACTTAACTGGCTCCTTGGCCCAATGTGGCCTTCCTGGGGTCCTTTAGACCAGGCCTCACCTCCTTGATGGAGGTTTTAATTAGAGCTGTACTTCTGGAGCTAAAACAAAGACAAACTGAGCTCCTGGGATGAAGGTCAGGGAATTCATGTTCTTTCCTCAGCCTTCTTGTTATCCCATGGGTAACTTCATGCAGTCACGTCCAGATGTTGCTTAAGGAAAATGGCTATTGCTGCTGTGCCACAGACAGTGGTGAGTTATGATGCCAAAATGCAGTGACTCACTTGCTTCCTAATACCATTCACCTACATGCTGCTTTATCCATCTCTAGAGAGGCTACAGCTGCGTGACTAGGGGTTTCCCCAAGCAATTTGCCTCCTCAGTCTCAAGTGGGAGGAACGTGGGAAGAAGCAGATGCCTTAGAATAAGTCTGGTCTCCATTCTCACAAAAGTCTGTGGGATTCGCAGTAAGGGAATTAACATCAATCTGATCTTATTATCTCATCTGCCATTTTAAAATCAGCTTCCCACTCAAGTGTGATATTTTATACTGTTGATTCTCTTAAAATTGGGATCTTAACAAAGAAAAGCTTGCAACAGATGCATGACTACTGCTCAAATCATCGCTGAGGCACTTAGAGACCCAGAAAAGATCTTATGTTTGGCTTGCAGTGTTTCTAAGAGCAGTGGAATGAGGGAGGGTTTCTTTGCATATTTCCTGTGTAAACAAACTTACACCAGTAAACACAGCCACCTTCTCATCTTCTGTGACAGCAGCCAAAACTATTAGCCACAGCCAGGGCTTTTGATATTCATACAAAACCTAAATGTGACATGTAAACAGGAAGAGAGAGATATAGAGAGGTAATTACCCTCTTATAAGGAGAGGAAAGATGGAAAGGTGGTCACCAGGGATAGCATCTCTCTCCCACTCACAGAAGAAACCCTAGCATTTCCCAAACCTATCTGACCAAATGATTCAGTAAGTTAATAAATTACATAATAAATGACAAATGATACAGCATGTTAACACCGAGAGGGGACTCCTTGGTAAAAATAAATAAATAAATTCAAGAAATATTGGATTAAAGAAGTCACTTTACTGCAAGATTTATCAGAGTCTCTAGTATATGTGCCTTATAACACTCTAAGAAAGCCAAGTGTGTCTGAAGCATTTCCTAAATATATTTTACCATGAAACCCTTTACGTATAGATTATGTAAGAAATGGGGAAAAGTTCCCTAGACCTATATGGTTTGAAATCCTGTATGTTCAAAGGGTTGCATTATCCCACAGTAGGTAAAGATCCAAACATGGAAATAAGCAAACCTGTTTTAGGTGAAAGAGTTTGCATTCTGGATCTACTAATTGCTAGCTAAGTGCCTCTTGGCGCTTGTTCCTTTGAAACACACACTGTCATGAACTTGCCATCCCTCTCAGCCTCAAACTCCAGTTGCCATTAAAGGCAGTAGTCTATAACCATCTGTTATGGGTTGAATTGTGTCCCTCTAAATTCATGTGTAGAAGTACTAACCTTCAGTACCTAAGAATGTGACACTATTTGGAGACAGGGCCTTTACAGAGGAAATCAAGTAAAAATATAATTAGGGTGGGGTCTAAACCAATATGACTCTCCTCCTCATAAAAAAGGAAAATTTGAATACAGAGACATGCTTAGAGGAAAGACAATGTGAATTGAAAAAGAGAAGACGGCCATCTACAAGCCAAGGAGAGAGTTCCGGAACAGATCCTTCCCTCACAGTTCTCAGAAGGAACCAAACCTGTCGATAACTTGATCTTGGACTTCCAGCCTCCAGAATTGTGAAGACAATAAATTTCTGTTATTTAAGCCACCCAATGTGTGGCACTTTGTTACTGCAGCTCTAGCAAACTAATGTAGCATCTTTACAATCAGCTTTCACTGCATCTATTTATTCATCAAATACTTATTGAAAGCTTGCTAATTCCCAAGACTGTTCTGGGTGCTAGAAACACAATGGTGAACAACTACAGGCATCTTCCCTGCCATTATGGATCTTACAGTCTAACAAGGAACACAGATGTAAAATCAAATAATCACTTACGAATGTAAAATTACTAATAGTAAAAGAAAATAACTAAAAAGAGACAATGAGGATGCTAAATCATTCACATAAGCAGGTGCCTGACCTCATCTGGGGTGTCAAGAAAACTTCCTTGTGTCAATGACACATGAGCTGAGACTTGAAAGATTAGCAGGAATTGGTAAAGTGAAAGGAGGATGTGAAAAGTGTTCCCAGCAGAGGGAGCAGCACATTCAGGGATAAGAGGGGAAGCTGAAGTGGGTGAAAGGAAGGCAGGGGGATTGAAGTCATCAAGGCCACAGATCACCTCTCAAGCAAGTCCTTGCAATCCAATTTTAGAATGTAGAAATTTATCTTAAGACACCCTTTTATGACCTCAGATGAGTGAGCAATTCCATGTCTAAGTACATACCCAAGAGAATTGAAGACATAGGTTGGCATAAAAACATGTTTACAAATGTTCATAGCAACATTATTCATAAAAGACAAAAAGTAGAAAAAACCCAAATGTCCATCAACTGAGGAATGGATACACAAAATGTGGTGTCTCCATACAATGGATATTATCCAGCCATTAAAATGGATGGATTAATGATATATGCTACAACACGGATGAACTGTGAAAACATGATGTTAAATAAAAGAAGCCAGTGACAAAAGACCAACGTATTGTGTGGTTCCACTAATATTAAATGTCCAGAATAGACAAATCTATAAAAACAGAAAGTAAACTAGTGGTTACCAAGAACTGGGGGAAGGGGAAATAGAGAGTGATTGCTAACAAGTACAGTTTCTTCTGGTGATGATAAACTGTTTTCCATTCAGATAATGGTGATGTTTACGTAACTTTGTGCATACACTAAAAAGCACTGGATCGCATACTTTAAAACAGTCAATGTGGCTGGGTGCGGTGGCTCACGCCTGTAATCCCAGCACTTTGGGAAGCTGAGGCAGGTGGGTTACAAGGTCAGGAGTTCAAGACCAGCCTGGCCAACATAGTGAAACCCCCATCTCTACTAAAAATAACAAAAATTAGCCAGGCATGGTGGTGCGCACCTGTAGTCCCAGCTACTCGGGAGGCTGAGGCAGAAGAATCGCTTGGACCCGGAAGGCAGAGGTTGCAGTGAGCCGAGATTGCACCACTGCACTCCAGCCTGGGTGACAGAGCGAGACTCCATCTCAAAATAAATAAATAAATAAATAAATAAATAAATAAATAAATAAATGAGTGAATGTTATGCTGTGTGGAATATACCTCAATTTTAAAATGTATGAGAAGAAAGGACAAAGAGAAGCACTTCTTTTTTTGGCAGTATGGCAGACTGCATCCATTACCACTCCCACTGAAAACTAAATGATGCCACTAAAATATTCAAAATATCTTTTAAGTATATTGATAAGCTTGCAAGAAACCAAGGAATAGTTAGAGGCCAAAATAAAAACGAGAAGAAGTAAACTGAATATTAAAGTTGGCTCTTACCTTGAAGTCATTTGCCTGGTCAAGTTACTGATTTTCTGTTTCCATGGCCTCATAGAATATGGAGGACAGGTGACAAAACCCACAGCCCAAACAACATGGATGATCTTATAGCAAACACCTCTATCTAAAGCTAGGATTTCCCAAAGGTATCCAATTTGAGCATAAGGGTAGACAATTAAGGTTAAGCCATAAGAAATTGCCAATATTTGATTATTTTTGACTTATGAAAAACAATTTTCCATGGTTCAACCTACACTTAGCCCTCAGTGATCCCCCTATCCAAACTCCCAGAAATTGCAAGGAAAATTGCACTTTAAAACTTGGAAATGAGTAAAGAGGAAAATAATTCCCTTGAGGAATAAATGTTCACTCAGAATTACATGTTAAAGAAAGACATTTTTGAAAAACAGGAACAAGTAAAGACATTTTCAAATGCCTAACAGATGGACCAACAGATTCTCACTAAAGAAATTTGTAATGAATGTTCATCCTACAGAAGAAAAGTGATTCCAGATGAAAGAGCCAAGATGAAAAGAAATGTCACTATTATATTAACCAAAATAAAGCTAGTAGAGCTACATTATTGTCCATCAAGATAGACTTTTAGACAGAAAGAAAAACAAAAGATAAGATGGTCGGCACATATTTTAAAGAGATGCATTCTCCAGGAAGAAATACTGACTAAATTCTTTCTAATAAAATATTTTTCAAATGTATTAGCAAAGGTTGACAGAAAACAAGAGAAATGAAAAAATATATCATAATGACAGTTTTCAATACACCTATCTCTGTAATTGACAGATCAAGACAAAAATCAGTAAAGACATAGAAAATCTGAATAAATCATAAGAAGCTTGATCTATTGAGGACTAACTGACATACACAGAATACTACAACCAAAACACCCAATCTTTTCAAACACAGAGAGAATCGTTATGTACTGGACTGGAAATAAAGTCTCAAAAACTTCCCAGGAATTAGTGTCAGACACACTAGCTCAGATCACAATGTGGTTAAGTTAGAAATAAATACCAAACACACAAAACCGCTTATGTATGGAAATAAACATACATCTAAATACTTCATGGGTTATAGAAGAAATCTTAATAGGACTTACAATATATTCGGCAATGAATAATAATGGACTACCTCATTTTATAATTTATGAAATGCAGCTAAAATAGTACTTAAAAGGAAATATATAACCTTAAATATACCAATGAGAGGACGGGAGAGATTGAAATCAATAGCTAAGTCTCTCTGCTGATCACTTTCAGGGCACCCCTGTAGATCTATTAGTTGCCCTTCTGTCCATTGTTCTGTGCTTCCAAAAGGCTTACCTGTAAAGACTGCATCATCCCAGCTACTTTCCTGCTGACTTCCACTTGGGTTTACTCAATGGGTGACACTCACAGGACATAAGAGATTAGAAAGAGGGATAAGGATTTTTATATATCTGCTCCCTCCTTACTTAAAGCCATGGTTTTAGCAGAGGCCCAAGGTCGTGGCTTTTTTGAGCAGCCCCTTTATCAAAGGTCTGGAAAGAGTCTACCTTCCCCCTCACAACTGAGTAATGAGGCTTACTACTGTTGCTAGTTCTGGGTAACTCATCTCTTATTGGTTTCTTTAACCCTGACACATTTATGTAAATACTCTCCTCCTTACACTCTCTTAAGTCTTCCTTTGACTATGCCATCTATTTCTTGCCAGGACCTTGGCAGACAGAGCATCCCACTTAAGAAGTTAAGAAAAGAGAAACAGAATAAACCCAGCAAAAGTAGATGGAAGAAAAAATAAAGATAAGTAGAAATTAATGCAATATAAAGCACATATACAGTAGAGAGGACCAACAAAGACAAAAGTTGACAAACTATTTGCATGATTGAGCAAGGAAAAAAAATAATATTAAAAATGTAAAGGACATAGCTAAATATAATGTCGAGATTTAAAAGATACCGAGAGAATAGTATAATTTTATGCCAATAAATTTGAAAACAAAGAAATGAATAAATTTGTAGAAAAATATAATGCAATTTCAATTAAAAATCCAGAAGATACAACCCTATCAATGGGTGTCATGCATCCATCTCAGACAGGAATCCAGGAGTCAATTATTAAGTCAATTATTAAAGAATTTTGTGAGCTGATTGTTAAACTGTTGGTAGCTTGATGTTGGCCAGGGTGGGAGTATTCACACTACAAAAATAAGTGAACACTACAACAATTATAGAATTTGAGTCATTAGTTAAAAATCTGCCCACAAAAACTTCGGGCTTCAAGGGTTTAACCAGCAAGCTCTACGAAACATTCATTAAACAAGTAATTCTAGTCTTCTATAAACTCTTTCAGGTAAACAGAGAATCATTTGATGAGTTTAGCATAACTTTGATGTCCAATATGATGAAGTATGAATGAGAAAAGTCACAGGACACTCTTATTACTAACTAAGCAAAAAATGCTAAACACAAAGTAAAGCAAATCCAGTGATGTGTATAAAATATAACATGAATAAAATGGATTTTCCCAGAAATACTTTCATTAGAAGGCATAACACTAGAAAATCTTTTTTTATTTTTTATTTTTTTATTTATTTTTATTTTTATTTATTTTTTTTTTTTGAGACAGAGTCTTGCTCTGTCACCCAGGCTGGAGTGCAGTGGCATGATCTCGGCTCTGCCTCCGGGTTCATGCCATTCTCCTGCCTCAGCCTCCCGAGTAGCTGGGACCACAGGCGCCCACCACCACGCCCAGCTAATTTTTTGTATTTTTAGTAGAGACGGGGTTTCACCATGTTAGCCAGGATGGTCTTGATCTCCTGACCTCGTGATCTGCCCACCTCAGCCTCCCAAAGTGCTGGGATTACAGGCGTGAGCCACCGCGCCCAGTCTAGAAAATCTTTTAATTCTCCACTTAATACATTTATGAACTTATGTCATCATCTCAATAGATTAAAAAGAACCTCAATAATACTCATCATTTTAAAAAAGAAGAAAAACTCCTAACATATCGAGAATAGGGGAGAATTTCTTTAACCTAATAAAGAGTAACCCCCACAAATTCCCACCCCCAGCAAAAGAAAAAGAAAAAAATGTGGTAACACATTGAATGCATTTTTTGTAAAGTCAGAAACAACTCATGGGCACCCAATGACTTTCGCTACTTCTATGTAACATTGTCCTAAGGGTTTTAGCTGGCATTTTAAGGCATGGAAAAGAAATAACCTGTACAAAATAACAAGGCTTATTGCAAAATATAGCGTGGGAGAAGGTAGCTGTCACCATTCTCAAGGAGGAAGTTTAAACCCAATAACTATACCACAACAAAACTTGAAGGCAAAGAGAAAAGATTTATAGAGAAAGACCCAAGAAGCTAGAAAAAGTTTCCCTCCTTCTTCTTCCATAATGATTTTTCTGACAGGTGAAGCCACCGCCACCACCACCACCACCACCACCACCAGGGAATCATTAAGAGCCCTTAGATCTCACCAGGTACTATAGAATCTGGAAACACAGTGAGCAAGAAATCTCATTCCATCAGGCCCATTCTAGCCACCAGTAGCCATCCCAAGGTAAAGCAATTGCTCCTGCCCCCCTGGAATGATGAATCCCCTATTCTCTGCCCTCCTTGAATGGCTGGTGGTTTCAGCTATGAGTGTGGTGTACTGATGCTCAAAGTGTAGTCCAAGGACTGTTGTAGGTCTACTCTTTGTTACTGGTCGCTAACAAGAAAAGTGCAGAAATGAAGAGTAAGCAAACAGAACCTGTATAGCAACTTGACACAGTCATTTCACATCTGTTGAATCTAACGATAATTTTTTTAAATTCTGGCTTATATTTGCAAGTCTTTTTTCTCAATTTTATTTTTCTATTAATTTATTTTTAGTGTATTTTTTAAAATCATGAAGGGATTGAAAAATTTAAAACAAACAAAACAACCAAACAAAAAAAAAAACTGATCCCTCACCTGGGGCACTTTTAAAATTCTTAGTGCCCCGCCTAAACCCTACACCTACACCTATTGCATCAGAATATCTAGGGTGGCACCAGACATCAATATTTCTTTATAATCCAGGCTATTGTAGTTTGCAAACAGGGTGAAGCCTTCCTCTCCAAAGCATGCCTGTGGAGCAACAGCATTGGCATCACCCGGAGCTCATTAGAACTACAGAGACTCAGACCCCACCCAGACCTATGGAACCATAATTGCATTTCAACAAGAAGATTGTATGCCCACTCAAGTCTGAAAAGGTTAAATTTAGAGAATGATATCAGAGGTATTGGTCTGCTTTTCAAGGCCCCAAGAGCACAGAGATTTTTCTGGAGAGGGAGTGCGAAGTGGGTCATCACCAGCACTAATATTACCACAGGGACTTCCTAATTGACTATCCTTCCCACAGCTGGCAAGGTGACCTTTCCTAAACAAACCTGTTACTGCTCTCCTGGGGCCTACAAGATCAAGTCCAAACCCCTGACAGCACAGGATACTCACCACCCCTCACCCCATCCCCAACATTTTGTCCCCTTCTTATCTGCTCAACCTCCTTCACACACACTCACACACCACACTTTACATACACATCATACCCACTCACACACACCACACACACGCCATGCAAACACTCCATCCATACCACATATACTCTACATACACATCATATACACACATACCATACACACTGTCACACACACCGCATACACCACACACACCCACACATACCACACACACATATACATCACAGACACCATACCCACTCACACACAGAAACATATACCCCACACATACCACACACATGCTCATACATACACACCACACACACACTGCACATACACACCCCACACACTCCACATACATATCACACACCCTCACACTCACACACACACACACACACACTCTGGACACAACTCCATTCCTCTGCTAATTCCCCTATCTCTGCCTAAAATTCTACCCCCTCTCAATCCTCAATTAATGTCACCCTCTTGCCTACCTAAAGAACTCCTTCCCCTGGTGGCTCACAACTGTAATTCTAGCATTTGAGGAGGCAGACACATGAGAATCACTGGATCCCAAGTCTGAGACCAGCCTGGACAACATAGAAACTCCTCATCTCTGAAAAAAAAGAAAAATTAGGTGTTGTCCACCTGTAGTCTCAGATACTTGGGAGGCAGAGACAGGAGGATGGCGTGAGCCCAGGAGTTTGAGGCTGCAGTGAGCCATGATTGTGCCACTGCACTCTAATCTGGGCAACAGAGCGAGACCCTGTCTCAAATAAATAAATAAATAAAATGACTTTCCATACTTCAAGACACAAGTCAAATATCTCCTTCTCCATGAAACCTCCTAGAAAAGGCAGGCATTTCCTCCTCCAATTTCCCACAGCTTCTCCTACAACCATTCAAATATAGCTATGATTATAGAGTGGGAATTGTTTACATGTCTGTCTTGCTCATGGCTTTGTGCTCTCCCTACTACTTTCTCTCTATGGCACCTCACATCCACTTTGTAGCAAAAGGAATCAGAATTTTGTAAGAATCACCAGTCAAGGATCTAACTAGATCCCAATCTCTCCTCACAACTACATCACTGGTTCGTGGAATTTCCCCTTGAAGATGCACAATCAATTAACCATACTCGGGAAATATTTAATAAATGCTGCCTTGGGAATCCAAAGATGAAGACATTCACGCAGAGAATATCCTTCTGCAACATTTGACTATTCCATTCTCCATTCCCGCCCAGTAAGTACTTTAAAACAGTCACAATCCAATGAAAAGGTGAGATGACGGCACTCTTCACATTTTTTCACAAAGCTTTCAAGAGTAAAGATTAAAATACGTATAAACCACACCCATAAGATGATATTTTAAATACAGTTAATTCTCATTATTCATGGTAGTTATGTACTATAAATTCACCTGGAACTCTCATTTAGCAAATACTCAACCACTGCTCCTAAGGAAATACTAGGTAGGTTCCTGCAAGCCTTTGGTCACAACATCTTAATCACTGGGGGGAGTGGAGGGGCTACTTTTTATTAGGTTAAAGCGATTCCCATCTATTCTTGATGCGTTAGTTTTTCTTCTTTTTAAAAATGATGAATATTATTGGAGTTCTTTTTATCTATTGAGATCATGGCATAAGTTTCTTAAGGTGGAGAATTACACTAAAAGATTTTCTAATATTAAGCCATCCTTGCATTTCTGGGAAAAATCCATTTTGTTTATGTGACATTTTGTACACATCATTGAATTTCCTGATTTTTTGCGTAGCATTTTTGCTTCCATGTTAACAAGCAAGATTCTGCTATGATTTTTGTATTCATACTTTATCAGATTGGACATCAAAATTATGCTAAATTCATTAAATGAGTCTCTGTTTACATAAAATGGTGTCTAAGACTGGAATTACTTGTTTTACAAATGTTTGATAGAGCTTACTGGCTAAACCCTTGGAGCCTGTGACCACACTTGTTGGACAACTCAAGTTTTTACCCACTCTGAACATGTCCACAAATGACTGTGAAAGCATCACAACTGTTGATTTGGGAGTTACAAATAAATTTGTATCAAGTAAGTATATTCACAAATATGGAATCTGCAAATAGTAAAGATTGACTCTATCTAACAAGTGGTAGGGTAAGAGCATTAACAAACCAGAAGAGTTGCAAATCACATTATTTAAGATCCTAGGGACTCCTGATGTGCCAGGCAAGAATACCTTGATTGCAGACTGCTGAGTCATGTGGAGCTCTAGGGAGAGTCCAAAGGAAGAGCTGGGCAGCTGGGGTGGCATAGGGACAGCAGCTATTTACCAATCCATTAGGGAAGAATTGCAATATCTTGTATTCATCACTTTAACTAAACTGGCCCTTCCTGATACCAAAGTAATACCAGGCTGAGAAATTCCAAATTTCTCCTATTACTCATTATTTTGTAAATCTGTTTGACCCACTTACATTGGAAACTGTATTATCCCTCCTCCAGACAGAAAACCTAATTATATCTTAAGAAAGGGGAAATCTGACACTGAAATGATTTTAATAGCAATCTGTTGGTACTAGCAAACTGATTATATTTCATATGGTACCTCTCCCAGTCTTCATGGACAGGAGCAGAGTCTTCTCTGTAGAAACTGCAATGTTGTCCAAATTTGCAAAATGCCAATTCTAGATAATGACACTCAAGTGCTGAGGGAAGTGGAAGGAACAGCCTGTTACCTTCTACTTCAGTGCTTTGATGGCTGAAATGGGAGGAGTCATAGACTGGCTCTGGCTCAATGCCCTTCAAGGGATAATCTAGTCTAGAGCAGTGCTTTGCAAAATACAATGTGCTTACAAATCGCATGAGAATCTTGGTAAAGTGCAAATACTGATTTAGTAGGTTTGGACTGGGGCCTGAGACTTTACATTTCTAACAAGCTCCGAGCGACTGCTGCTGGTCCAGGGACCACACTATGCATATCAAGGGTCAAGACTGGAGTAGTGGTTCTCAGTCACACTTGGGCATGCATCAGAATTACAGAGAGAAAGCCTGTTAAAGCATAGATTGCTGCCCCAGAGTTTCAGATTCAGTAGCTCTGACTTGGGCCTAATAATTTGCCTTTTTAACAAATTCCCAATTGACAATAATGCTGGAAGTTTGGGGATGGCATGTTGAGAATTACTGATCTAGACTAGAAAGGCAAACCCTTAGAACCATGTTTCCTCCAGCATTTCCATAGACATAAAAATGCTAGCCTTTCATCATGTTGACAAAGAACTTATATTTCCATAAAAGATATAACTCTAATGATGAAGTTCCCAAGGACAGGGGCCACATCTTGTATTCATTTGATACAATATAAATATAGTAAGAGCAATTAATACAGTCTAGATTTATGGCAATTAAATAATGAATTTTACTATCTGATGTAACATTTTACCCTTTTAGTGCTGTCTCAACTGGTGCAAAGCTGATCACTAGCTGCCAACTCTTGCTCTTAATTCATTTTTACAAATTTCAAAGTCTCCCTCTTCTCTCTCCTTTTTTCCAAATGAAAAGCCCTAGAAAGAAAGCAACTGGGAGTCAGGGGGTTATGGCTCCTTTACTTTTTATCTCTTATGCCTAAAAAAGACCTGTCAAGTCAGGCACAGTGGCTCACGCCTGTAATCCCAGCACTTTGGGAGGCCAAAGCAGACAGATCACCTGAGGTCAGGAGTTCAAGACCAGCCTGACCAACGTGGAGAAACCCCGTTTCTATTAAAAATACAAAATTAGCCGGGCACGGTGGCACATGCCTTTAATCCCAGCTACTCGGGAGGCTGAGGCAGCAGAATTGCTTGAACCCAGGAGGCAGAGGTTGCAGTGAGCTGAAATCACACCATTGCACTCCAGCCTGGGCAACAAGAGTGAAACTCTGTCTCAAAAAAAAAAAAAAAAAAACTTGTCAAAGTGTAAGTGCTCAATAAATATCTGAGGAAAAGGAAGGAAGGAAAGAGTGAAAGAAGGAAGGGAGGGAGGAAAAAAGGGAGAGAGAGAAGAGAGAGAAAGAAAGAAGGGAAAAAAAGAGGGAGGAAACATAATACCCTTAGTTAAATTTGTAGTTTGCCATTGGCATGTCTTCAAAATGATTAAGCTGAATAGCTTTCTAAAGGCAGAATTTTGATTCATTTTAGTTGGGCCTCTATTCCAGATGAAGTCCTTCCAGCAATAAAAATTGAAATGATTTCTTAATAATAATGATAATAAGTTTTCTAATCCAAAGTGTTATGATACTGTTAGCTTATACAATGCAGTTGGCAACTAGGTCACCATGTATAAGCATTATCTATAACATTGTCTTCTAACTGATATATCAGCAGATTGATTTCTCCTGTAAAAAAAGATAGCAACTACCAACCAGAGACAATCACAGTCTATTTAACCAGCTAAATAATTAAAGGCCAGATGTTTGCCCACAGCAAGTCAACTGTCCCTTAACTAACATCTTCCAAGAACCAGTGAGGCTTGGCTGCCTGTCCTGGTGATGAGACCAAGGTCTACTTACGAGCATTTACAGGTGCCTACTACATGCTGGTGATTTCTGGGAGTCAGGAGGAAGATTAAAGGAGAATCAGGTGCAGCCTATAGCTGTAGTAGTTGGCAGTTTATCTAGAGAGATGATCAGGTAAATAAGTAACTGTATTATAAGAGAGGTAAGTACAAAGGCTATGGGATGGCAGAGATAGTGTCAAAATAACTCCTTGGGAGAGTCAGGAAAGACTTGGGAAAGGGTGACATTTATGCTGGCTGTAAAAGAAGATATAAAAGTGAACTTAGAGCTGAGAGTCAAGACACAGTGTTCTCTAAGCAGAGAACGGATATGCAGACATATTGCAAATACATTCTTAGAGAAAAACAAACATCATTAAACCAGTGAGGACAGGGAGTTATCCTGTATCTCAGCATTGAGCATCTGTCACCTGTGTTCACCCAGGCCGATACTTGTAGGTACAGTTTAATTCAGGGCTTGAGGACAACAGCAAACAATTCATTAAGAGTGACTATGGGGCCAGGCACAGTGGCTCACGCCTATAATCCCAGCACTTTGGGAGGTCAAAGTGGGCAAATCGCTTTCTATCTAAAAAAAAAAAAAAAAAAAAGAACAAAACAACAACAACAAAAAGAATGACTATGGCATGAGAACCATGTAGAGTTTACTGCACAGCTCCAGTAGCAGGCACACAGTTCCATATCTACTGAGATTGGTTTGGCATTAATTTCCATTTTCTCATCACCAAGGAACTGGTAAAAGTCTTAGCCACTGGAACTGTTACACCAGATTTCAAATCTTCTTTCACTGTTTATGATCTGCTGATCCACTCTTCTGAGTCTTATGCTGTTTTCATCCCAGTACAACCTGCCCTGTTTTCTTGGACCAGAACCTGTACTTTTAATACCTGTTTCAATGTATATTCCAGGGACACTTTCATAACGGAGACTTTGCCAATAGTTTTGCCATGAAGAATTCTCCTGCTTACTATGTGAATTGTTGGCCAGCAAATGGCTTCTCTTGCGGGGGTCCATCCTACAGACACTGACCCAATGACAGATGAATAACGTACACTGACACATATATTCTGCTTGTCAGTCTGGCTAAGGGTCCGGGCCCCTCACAGATACCAAGGAAGGTGCTGTAAAGAGTAGCAGCCGTGGCCCCGTTCAGCCAACAAAGCTCACATTTATTCAGTATGGATTAAATGACAAAGGTCTTGAGTAAACACTGTTAGAGGGTAATTGACCTGGTTGCCGATCCACCAGTAGACAGAAATTATGCACCCGTGGTTGATTAAAGGTTGGTCTTAGGACCACATGAGTAAACAAGCTATTTAGATAAACTACTCTATATTCCTATGTATCTACACCCTACGCTTTTAAGGGAGTTCAGCTGTCTTCAGCCAAACACTTTACACAAACCCCCAGGCCTTCTAAGAGGGTTTGTGTTTAATTCCTATAATTTCATCTTAAAATTTTTCCCACCAGCCTGACTGAACTCCCACATTCTCTCTTTGGTGACAAACCCTGCAGCTTTCTCTCCCTCTTTCTTATTTAAACATTTACTTTCCAGAGCAGCTGCCTGTTTGTTCTTAGTGATTAGCAGTCTCCTGTGGTGGAACAAGGAGAAAAGCATGGTATATCTTGAGGCTTTTTGGTGAAAGAAATACCTTCTTGAATGGATTTGAGCTGCAAATGGGTCCCCCTTGTGGTGAAGTTTCCCACTGGGAGAAAAAGAAACACATGGCCAGCCAGGCGCAGTGGCTCATACCTGTAATACCAGCACTTTGGGAGACTGAAGCAGGTGGATCACAAGGTCAGGAGTTCGAGACCAGCCTGGCCAACATGTTGAAACCCCCATCTCTACTAAAAATACAAAAATTAGCCAGGTGCAGTGGCAGGCACCTGTAATCCCAGATATTTGGCAGGCTGAGGCAGGAGAATCGCTTGAACCCAGGAGGTGGAGGTTGCAGTGAGCCAAGATCGTGCCACTGCACCCTAGCCTGAGCGACAGAACGAGACTCCATCTCAAACAAACAAACAAACAAACAAAAAACACACGGATTCACTCATTCAACAATATTTATGAAGCATCTGCTTATATGCCTGGCATTATCCCAGGTGTTAGGATATGGTGGTAAGCAAAACAGATTAAAAATTCCTTGCCTATCTGAACTATGTGATGCCTCTTTGTAATTTCATAGGAGCTCAAGCTTGCACCTTTAAACAATTCTGAGATGACCATCATGTAGGCTATACAAAGACATGAAGAAATATAAGAGCAGAATCATTCAACGAGCTGTGGAAAACCATGCCTGTTATTTCTGTGCTTCTCCCATCTAACACAAGTGCCTGGTGTAATTTTTATTTTATTCAATAAACATTTATTGAGTGCCTACAATTTATCAGGCAGTTATATTTCAGAACAATATTTTTCAAACTTTAACGGACATGTGAATCACTTGGAGATCTTGTTAAAAAGCAAATTTTGATTCATTTGATGCAAAAGTGGGGTTGGGGGTGGGGTGCAGGGGCTTAGATTTTGCATTTCTAACAACCTTCCAAGTGACGCCAATGTTGCTGGTTCATGCACCATACTTTGACACAATCACTTACATTCTGGTGGAAGACAGGTAAGTCAACAATTAGAGAATAGTAAGTTGAGGCCGGGTGTGGTGGCTCACGCCCGTAATCCCAACACTTCGGGAGGCCGAGGTGGGCTGATCACTTGAGGTCAGAATGTTTGAGACTCTGTCTCTACAAAAATACAAAATAAGCTGGGCGCAGTGGAGTGCGCCTGTAGTCCCAGCTACTCGGGAGGCTGAGGCAGAATTGCTTGAACCAGGAGGCAGAGGCAGAGGTTGCAGTGAGCTGAGATAGCACCACTGCACTCCAGCCTGGGCAACAGAGTGAGACTGTGTCTCAGAAAAAAAAAAAAAAAAAAAACAGAGAGAGAGGCCCGGCACGGTGGTTCACTCCTGTAATCCCAGAACTTTGGGAGGCCAAGGCGGGTGGTGGGGCATGAAGTCAGGAGATCGAGCCATGCTGGCTAATACAGTGAAACCCTGTCTCTACTAAAAATACAAAAAATTAGCCAGGCGTGATGGTGCATGCCTGTAATCCCAGCTACTCAGGAGGCTGAGGCAGGAGAATCACTTGAACCAGGGAGGCAAAGGTTGCAGTGAGCTGAGATTGCACCACTGCCCTCCAGCCTGGGGGACAGAGTGAGACTCCATCACAAAAAAAGAGAAAAAAAAAAGAAAGAGAGCGAGAATGGTAAACTGATATATAGAAAACACAGTGTAGCGGGAGAACAGAGGAGGACACAGAGTAAGAACTAAAGATGGGGACAATAGGATGAAACCGGTCTCCTGAAATACAACTCTGAGTCCAGTATGAAGGGTAAAGAGGGAGAGACTGAAGACATAAGCTAATACTCACACCAATAAGGATAACATTTATTATTTACATCATGCTAAGCATTGTGCAAAGTGCTTTATAGCCTAAAACTCATTGAATCCTCTCAATAGCCCTATGAGATAGGTAGCTATGGTAGACAGAATAATGTCCCCAAAGATGCTCATGTCCTAATCCCTGGAAACTGTCAATATGCAAAAGGAGAATTAAGGTTGTGTAGGAAATGAAGTTTACTTGTCATTTGATTTTAAACTAGGGAGAGTATCCCGGATTACCCAGATGGGCCCAGTGAAACCATAAGGCTCCTTACAGTGAAAGAGGGAAGCCGAAGAAGAGTCTGTGTTCGAGTGATGCCATGTGAGAAAGTTTCAACCAGCCACTGCTAGCTTTAAGGACAGAAAGGGGCCATGAACCAAGGAATACAGGCAGCCTCTAGAAATGGAAAAGCAAGCAAATGGCAGTTTCACCTAGAACCTCTAGAAGGAATGCAGCCCTACCAACACCTTAATTTTAGCCCAGTGAGACCTATTTTCGGCTCCTGACCTCTAGAACCATGAGATAATAAATTTGTGGGTTTTTTAATTTTTGATTTTTATAGGTACATAGTGGGTATGTATATTTATGGGATACATGAGACCAATACAGGCATACAATGTGTAATCATCACATCAGGGTAAATGGGGTATCCATCACCTCAAGCATTTATCATTTCTTTGTGTTACAAACATACCAATTACACTCTTTTAGTTTTGTTTTTTGTTTGTTTGTTTGTTTGTTTTTGAGATGGAGTCTTGCTCTGTTGCCCAGGCTGGAGTGCAGTGGTACGATCTCGGTTCACTGCAAGCTCTGCCTCTTGCCTCAGCCTCCTGAGTAGCTGTAATTACAGGTGTGCACCACCATGCCCGGCTAATTTTTGTATTTTTAGTAGAGATGGGGTCTCACGACATTGGCCAAGCTGGTCTCGAACTCCTGACCTCAGGTGATCCGCCCGCCTTGGACTCCCAAAGTGCTGGGATTACAGGTGTAAGCCACCATGCCCAGCTCTTTTAGTTATTTTTAAATGTACAATAAATTATTGTTGCCTGTAGTCACCCTTTTGTGCTCTCAAATACTAGATGTTATTCATTGAATTTGTATTGTTTTAAGCCACCAGAGTTGGGGTAATTTCTTATAACAGTCATTGGAAACTAATACAGTATTATTTAAAGATAAGGAAATGGATGCACAAAAGTTCATTAACTTACTAGTAAGTAGCTAGTTTGGGGTCTGAACTCTGGATTCATGTTAACTACACCTTAGTAGATTCTGGATCTAAGAAATAGGACTTGACAGGATTTGGTAACTATCTAATATGCAAGGATTCAGGAGATGAAGAAATCTAGAACACCACCAAGGTTTCTAGTTCAAACCACTGTTGGGGAAATGACACCACTCATTGATGAAAATATAAGAAATGAACGAGCAATTAGTAATTACGGGAGATGCTTAAAACATATTTGTATTTGAATTGCACACTCAAATCCAGATTCTGCCGGTAGTCAAGCTAAACTGTGGTAATTCTCTTAAGACATAATATCCTCAATCTGATCTTCTCTCTGGCTCCTCATTCAAGTTCAATAGATGCAGAGTTGGGATGAGGAGATGCAAAAAACACATGTGAGAGATATTGTCAAACAGGGTCAGCCTTTATCTTTCAAAAGAGGACATCTCTGTAGTGTGAGAATTATTATTCAATTGGCACTTCCCTTCAAAGTTATGAACTTACCTCAAGATCAACTTAGAAAATAGCTGCCTATCAAACATTCCTAATTCCCTCTGCTTCAACCCACAATACAATACAAAGATTTGAGGAACCTCCTTTGAGAGACACTTTTTAACTTTAAGTTCAGAGGGAAATGTCCGACCAGCTAATTTAGCTAAAACTCCCTGCCGGAGAAAGGCTCTGTTGTGTAAGCAGGCTTTGAAGTTTCAATGACTTGGGTTTCAATGTTGGTTCTGCTGCTTACTATCTGTGTGATCTTGGACAAGTTACTTAACCTCTCTGAGCCTTCTTTCCTCATTATTGTGAGGATTAAATGAGACACATATGTAAAATGCCTGGTACATGAAAGGCACTTAATCAACATTTTCTTTAAATTTTAAATCAGAAAAATATATGGTAAAACAGAAAGGAAAAAAATCTTAATGTATCATTACCTATTATGGGAAGTCACTTTAACACAGTACATTTTTATCACCTCTAAAATGTCCCTCAGTCTTCGCAGCTACTTAACAAGTAAAATGGAGATCTCTGACATCTACCATATAACTCAGCTGATTTATTACCCAGGTTCAAATTCCGAGCTTCCACGCTCTGCAGGGCCTGCTGGAATGACAACTTCACTTAATACACGAAGACCTGGGATCAAATTTCCCCCGCTCTTCTAGGGTCACTCAACCCAGTCAGCTCATCACGTGTAACCCATGTAAAAGCAGGCCCCCATGAAGTCCAGTCTCAAACCACAGTTGTACCAAAGAAACAAAGAACACCAGGAACACAAAATAGCAGAATCAAATATTTTCCTCTTTTCTAGATTATCTCCCCTCCACAAATACTCACAGCTATACTCTTCTCTCAGAAAGCCACACTTTACTCCCTTACTTTATTCAGGTCTCTGCTTAAGTGTCACCTGTTCAAAGACACCTCCCTGATATCTCTAAGCATCTTTTGTTTCTGTCCCTTTATCCTGTTTAATGTTTCTTCATAGAACTTGTTACTATCTAAAACTATATCATAGATTTATGTTTGAGTATTGTCTACTTCTTCCACTCTCATATAAGCTCTAGGAAGACAAGATCTTTTTCTGTTTTGTTATGATTCTTATCATCATGATTCACTGCTGTATACCCAGCACTTAAAACTGATCTAGGCACATAACACATGCCCAGTAAATTTTTGTTAGCTGAATATCAAAAGATCAGTGTTCTTATATTATGGATATGTAACTCAAGTAAAGGAACAAAGAACAAAGATGCTCCAGAAAGGACAGTGTTCTTTTAACTTGACTAGTGGAGCCAACATAGATTGACCTTATAAGGGTCTATTTGGGAACATGAGAAACACCCTCTCCAAATAACCTGCTTTGTTCTTTTCCAAAAGGCATACAACACAGATTATTGCTCAGAACAGTGAGTTCATACCAAGAGCAGAGGGAGTAGAGAGCAAACAATAGTTTATATGAAGGTAAGAAGTAAGTGGCTGGAACGAAGGTTGGTACAAAAGCTTATGGTCACGTGAGGAAAGTAATCTCAAGTTCTGGGGTAGCTTCACTTAAGAGGGACATAGTTTTTCAGAGAACAAGGGAAGAAGGCCTATGAAGCTCAGGGCAAGATGTACACACAGAACTAATTTCTCTCTTTTCTGCACACTCTGGGCACACACAAGTTAGGTAATTATTAGTTTATCTGATTTAAGTTGCCTCACTCAGAAATATTTCCCAAGAGTGAATGTGCTTTGTTTTTCTCTATATCACCAGCTTCTACTTCAGTGCCTAGTATTGTTGAGGCTCAGAAAACAAATGAAGGCCTCAGAATCAAAAGTTTTTTCTCTGATCTTCTCCTGACCTCCTGTCTCCCAGACCCATTCTGCCCGAAAGTGGGCCATAGAAATTATTTTTTCTTATTTTATTATTATTATACTTTAAGTTTTAGGGTACAGGTGCACAACGTGCAGGTTTGTCACATATGTATACATGTGCCATGTTGGTGTGCTGCACCCATTAAGTCATCATTTAGCATTAGATATATCCCCTAATGCTATCCCTCCCCCCTCCCCCCACCCCACAACAGGCCCCAGTGTGTGATGTTCCCCTTCCTGTGTCCATGTGTTCTCATTGTTCAGTTCCCACCTATGAGTGAGAACATGTGGTGTTTGATTTTTTGTCCTTGCGATAGTTTGCTGAGAATGATGGTTTCCAGCTTCATCCATGTCCCTACAAACGACATGAACTCATCATTTTTTATGGCTGCATAGTATTCCATGGTGTATATGTGCCACATTTTCTTAATCCAGTCTATCATTGATGGACATTTGGGTTGGTTCCAAGTCTTTGCTATTGTGAGTAGTGCCACAATAAATATACGTGTGCATGTGTCTTTATAGCAGCATGATTTATAATCCTTTGGGTATATACTCAGTAATGGAATGGCTGGGTCAAATGGTATTTCTAGTTCTAGATCCCTGAGGAATCACCACACTGACTTCCACAATGGTTGAACTAGCTTACAGTCCCACCAACAGTGTAAAAGTGTTCCTATTTCTCCACATCCTCTCCAGCACCTGTTGTTTCCTGACTTTTTAATGATTGACATTCTAACTGGTGTGAGATGGTATCTCACTGTGGTTTTTATTTGCATTTCTCTGATGGCCAGTGATGATGAGCATTTTCTCATGTGTTTTTTGACTGCATAAATGTCTTCTTTTGAGAAGTGTCTGTTCATATCCTTTGCCCACTTTTTGATGGGGTTGTTTGTTTTCTTCTTGTAAATTTGTTTGAGTTCATTGTAGATTCTGGTTATTAGCCCTTTGTTAGATAAGTAGGTTGCAAGAATTTTCTCCCATTCTGTAGGTTGCCTGTTCACTCTGATGGTAGTTTCTTTTGCTGTGCAGAAGCTCTTTAGTTTAACTAGATCCCATTTGTCAATTTTGGCTTTTGTTGACATTGCTTTTGATGTTTTAGACATGAAGTCCTTGCCCATGCCTATGTCCTGAATGGTAATGCCTAGGTTTTCTTCTAGGGTTTTTATGGTTTTAGGTCTAATGTTTAAGTCTTTAATCCATCTTGAATTAATGTTTGTATAAGGTGTAAGGAAGGGATCCAGTTTCAGCTTTCTACATATGGCTAGCCAGTTTTCCCAGCACCATTTATTAAATAGGGAATCCTTTCCCCATTGCTTGTTTTTCTCAGGTTTGTCAAAGATCAGATAGTTGTAGATATGCGGTGTTATTTCTGAGGGCTCTGTTCTGTTCCATTGGTCTATATCTCTGTTTTGGTACCAGTACCATGCTGTTTTAGTTACTGTAGCCTTGTAGTATAGTTTGAAGTCAGGTAGTGTGATGCATCCAGCTTTGTTCTTTTGGCTTAGGATTGGATTTACTTGGCAATGCAGGCTCTTTTTTGGTTCCATATGAACTTTAAAGTGGGCCATAGAAATTATTATCCCTCTTCCCCAAGGCGGTTCATAGAAACCAGAACCCCTTTTCCGCAATGCCAGCCATAAAACCTAAAAATATTACTCTAATTTTCTCTCTGTTTTTCTGTGTAAAAATTGGCCACATAGCCAGTCATGGTGGCATGCACCTGTAGTCCCAGCTACTCGGGAGGCTGAGGCAGGGGAATCATTTGAACCCGGAAGGTGGAGGTTGCAGTGAGCCAAGATCACACCACTGCACTCCAGCCTGGTGACAGAGCAAGGCTCCACCTAAAAAAAAAAAAAAAAACCCCGTCCATAGAGAAATTATCTGACTTGCCTTGTTTGACTACAGGTCATGTAACTGCCCAATGTGTTCACCTTGCCTGCTGCCTAGACAGAGCCCATTTATCAAGATTGGAATTACAGTGGAGAAAGAGTAATTCACACAGAGCCAGCTGTGCAGGAGACTGGAGTTTTATGATTATTCAAATAGGTCTCCCTGAGCATTCAGTGGATCAGAGTTTTTAAAGATAATTTGGTCGGCAGGGGGTTGCAAAGTGGGGAGTGCTGATTGGTCAGGTTGGAGATGGAATCCTAGAGGGTTGAAGTGAGTTTTTCTTGCTGTTTTCTGTTACTGGGTGGGATGGCAGAACTGGTTGAGCCAGGTCTGAGTGGTGTCAGCTGATCCAGCCAGTGCAGGGTCTGCAAAATATCTCCAGCATTGATCTTAGGTTTCACAATAGTGATGTTACCCCCAGGAGCAATTTGGGGAGGTTCAGACTCTTGGAGCCAGGTTGCATGACCGCTAAGTCAAACCATGAACTGAATTCCTTCCCAAAGTCAGTTCGGCCTATCCCCAGGAGTGAACAAGGACAGCTTAAAGGTTAGAAGCAAGATGGAGTCGGTTAGGTCTGATTTCTTTCTGTTGTAGAAAGTAAAAAGTTTCCTCTTCAAAGTTCCCCATCTTGTTAAAGAATAAATCATAAGTGTTAGAAATGGCAGTTTCTTGTAAAGACTAACTTTCTTCAAGCCTCCTTGCTTTGTGCTAATAACTCTTTGTTAAGCCCTATCCTATGTAACTGTTGGACATGCTCACAAGCATGTTCCAGCTCACAGTCTATGCCCCTTCCTTATTTGGAAATGTTATTGCTTCCTTAAACCTTTTGTAAGCAACTTCTTTGTTCTTCCTTGCACTTACCTATTTAGGAAAGTTTTAGGCTATTAGCAAATCGGGTATCAGTTTAAGATTGTGAGGTTCGGCCGGGCGCGGTGGCTCACGCCTGTAATCCCAGCACTTTGGGAGGCCGAGGCGGGTGGATCATGAGGTCAGGAGATCGAGACCATCCTGGCTAACAAGGTGAAACCCCGTCTCTACTAAAAATACAAAAAATTAGCCAGGCGCGGTGGCGGGCGCCTGTAGTCCCAGCTACTCGGGAGGCTGAGGCAGGAGAATGGCGTGAACCCGGGAAGCGGAGCTTGCAGTGAGCCGAGATTGCGCCACTGCAGTCCGCAGTCCGGCCTGGGCGACAGAGCGAGACTCCGTCTCAAAAAAAAAAAAAAAAAAAAAAAAAAAAAAAAAAAAAAAAGATTGTGAGGTTCAGCTCCAGCCAATGGATGCCGGACACAGCAGTAAGGACGATCCAAATGTACAAGGGATAAATATGTCCGCTTTTCCTTTGTTCAGGTGTGCTCTCACCATTGTTCCATCTGCGATTGAGCACCCTTTCTGCAGAAAGTAAAGATTGCCTTGCTGGGAGATCTTTTGTCTCTGTGCTGACTTTTCTTTGCCACACCAATTATTTCTAACAATTTTGGTATTTCTAACAACTGTCATAATTCCCTCAGTTATAATTTTGCATAGGTGGTTTTAGTCATAAGACCCCCATTGCAGAGAGGGGCCAGCCCCATAGCCAGAAGAAAGGACTGAATGCTCAGAGAGGCCAAGAAGAATCTAGGCAGACTTTGCTTGGTTTCCCACTCAGTCCATTAGCAGGAGATCTTACCCTTTTTGTCCAATCATAGCTCTACACAGCTGTCCATACTTTGTTGAACCTAAGCATAAAAATGGGCAATTTCCCCTTTATCTTTGGGTCTTCATTCTGTAGGCTCTTTTGTATAACGTTAAATAAATTTGTATGACCTTTCTCTGATTATCTGCCTTATTGTGAGTTGATTTTTCAATGAACTATCAGAGGGCCAAGCTCTTGATCCCGACAGTATATTTCAGATTTCATTAAATACTTGTTAAATAAATACATGATAGACAACAATGTTATTTGTCGATAATTAAAATACCAAGATATAAAATTGCCATTTCTTTAAACTTTTGGCTCACACATACCTTTTAGCAGAGATATAGCAGGATGGTTTAAAAAAAAGAAAGAAAGAAAAGAAAGAAATACCAGCTTTATATTCAGGAAATTCTGGCTTTTAATACTCTATATTAAAACCAAGATTCTGTTATGTAAGCCACCCGGTTTGTGTTACTTTGTTAGCGAAGCCCCAGGAAACTAATATAAAGGGCAAAATAGGGGAAGAGGGAGGGAGAGAAGAAAGACAGCAACATCAGCCTAGTAAATTGAGTCTCTCTGGAAGAAAAAAGAAAAAAGACAAACATTCACCTAAAGCTAATTTGTTATGGGTTTTTTTGTTTTTTGTTTTTGGTGTGGTGTTTTTTTTTGGATGGAGTTTCACTCTTGTTGCCCAGGCTGGAGTGCAACAGCGCAATCTCGGCTCACTGCAACCTCCGCCTCCCAGGTTCAAGCAATTCTCCTGTCTCAGCCTCCTTAGTAGCTGGGATTACAGGTGCCCACCACTACGCCCAGCTAATTTTTGGTATTTGTAGTAGAGACGGGGTTTCATCATGTTGGCCAGGCTGGTCTCAAACCCCTGACCTCAGGTGATCCACCTGTCTCGGCCTCCCAAAATGCTGGGATTACTGGCATGAGCCACTGTGCCAGGCCAATTTCTTATGTTAACATAGCCTCAAGTTTCCCAAAAAATAGTTAATACGTGTTCCTGATGTTTAAGTGTTTCTTTCCTGAGGAGGTAATAGATGAGAAACCTTTCCCTACAGTAGTGTTTAAGGGGGTCAGCATGGGTCTTCAGCAACATCACTTGTAGTACTTGCTTGAAATTCCCATTTCTGCTTCCACTGAACCTTCCAAATCTTGAGATTCCAGGAGCATGAATTTCTTACCAGCTCCCCAGGGGATTCTTTAAGAAAACCTCTAGCTAGCAGCCTTCTGCTCCCTCTGTTGTCCAAGTTATACGTTTGTAAGTTTTATTGGTTGGTTTTATGAGGAATATGTTCCTCCACATTCTACATTTTCCTTTGTGCTAAGAAAGGATCTAAAAACATCTGAAACTCTAACATTGTAATTGAAGCTGTGGATCAAACTGTAGAAATTATAAATTCATCTGGTTGTTTATTACATCTTAGTTCATTTTGTGTTGCTTAGAATACCTGAAACTGTGTATTTTATAAAGAAAAGGAATTTATTTTCTACAGATCAGGAGGCTAAGTCCAAGGTCGAGGGGTTGCATCTAGTGACAGCCTTCTTGCTGGGGACTTCTTTACAGAGTCCCGAGGCAGCACGGGATATCACATGGCAAAGGTGCTGAGCATGAGCTCAGGTCTCTCTTTCTCTTCTTATAAAGCCACCAGTTCCCCTCCCATGATAACATAATAATCCATTAACCCATTAGTCCATGGATGGATTATTCCATTCTTGAGGGAGAGTCCTCATGCAATCATGTCTTTTTTTGTTTTCTCTGAGACAGAGTTTTGCTCTTGTTGCCTAGGCTGGAGTGCAATGGTGCGATCTCGGCTCGGTGCAATCTCGGCTCACTGCAACCTCTGCTTCCCAGGTTCAAACGATTCTCCTGCCTCAGCCTCCCGAGTAGCTGAGATTACAGGCATGAACCATCTTACCCAGCTAATTTTGTATTTTTAGTAGAGATGGGGTTTCACCCTGTTGGTCAGGCTGGTCTTGAACTCCTGACCTCAGGTGATCCTCCCACCTCAGCCCCCCAAGGTGCTGGGATTACAGGTGTGAGCCACCACACCCAGAATTCAATCATGTCTTAAAGACCCCACCTCTCAATACTGTCACACTGGGGATTAAGTTTCAATGTGAGTTTTAAAGGGTACATTTAAACCATACCACTATGGGATGTAGGTTGTTTTGATGAGGGACAGTCTCAAAATGGGAGGAAGATTAGAATATATATATATATATATAATAATACAAAGAAAAGGCTTATCTATGTGTTAACCGGGGAAAGTTTGCCACTTTGGTAGGAGAAAAAAAATTATAAAAATGGTCACTATATCAAGATAAATGCCCCTGTCTACAATGAAGATTTAATTATTGTAAATTTTTATGCAGCATCTAAATCCATAAGTCAACAACTTCTAAAAATGTAATGAGAAATAGGTAAAAATTTAATTACAGTAAGACTGTAGCTTATCTTTGAAAATTAATAAAAATAAAAAAAGTGTCCTACAGCCAAAAAACTTTAAAACTCTCTCTGAATTTGTTTCAGAAAAAATTCAAATCAAGTAAAGTAAATAGATCCTTTTGTAGTTCATAACAGTGATTACTGGGTTTTCACGTTCATGTGTGAGATGTGCCTTTCTTTTTTTTTGTTTTTGTTTGTTTGTTTTTTGAGACAGAGTCTCGCTCCGTCTCCCAGGCTGGAGTGCAGTGGCGTGATCTCGGCTCTCTGCAACCTCCGCCTCCCGAGTTCAAGCATTTCTCTGCCTCAGCCTCCCAAGTAGCTGGGATTACAGGCACCCGCCACCATGCCTGGCTAATTTTTTGTATTTTTAGTAGAGACGGGGTTTCACCATCTTGGTCAGGCTGGTCTTGAACCCTTGACCTCGTGATCCACCCGCCCCGGCCTCTCAAAGTGCTGGGATTACAGGCGTGAGCCACCGTGCCCGGCAGCCTTTTTTAAACCTTTTTACCACATCCGCACATTACCCATCTGACATGGAAAAAGAAAAGAATTGTAAATAATTTAGAAAATAACAATAAAATCACAATGCATGAGAAACTATGGGAAACCTCAAAAACCATGAGAAAAAATTCATAACTTTAAACATTTTTAATATTAACCAATAAAGAGTTGAGGACTAAACTGATTTTTTTATCTTGCCCAAATTCCCATCTAAAGAGTCTGAGGAGTCATGCCCTATAAACCATAAGTTCTCATCAGATGGGTTTTATTTAACCCTATATATCGTGGCTTTCCAACCTGACTCTAGCATAACATTATGAGACAAGGAAGAAAATTGAAATATTTCACCCCAAAACATGTTTATTTGCCATATCTTGAAATGGCCCTGCAAAGCTGTCCTTTGTGGGGGAAAATTTGTGTCTGTAAAGAATCTCTGTTAACGTAACTAGATCTTTTTCTTCCAGGCCCTCCCAATCCTAGAGATTAACTAAAAGTTTAGCACCTTTTAAAGATCTGAATATGAAATATTTGCCATCTATTATCTCTAAGGGCAGCCACAATAAGACTTCAAAGGAACCTTGGCCTCCATAATCTTTTATCTTAACCCAAATATTTCCTTTCTGTCAGTCTCAGATCTTTAGACAAACTCAGCCAATTGTCAACCAGAAAATGTTTAAATTTACCTATAGCCTGGAATCCCACACCCCTGACTTTGAGTTGTATCATTTTTCTGGATCAAACCAATGTATTTCTAACATGTATTTGATTGATGTCTCATGCCCGCCTAAAATGTATAAAACCAAGCTGCACCCCAACCTTCTGAGGGCTGAGGGCTGTGTCACAGGTCATGATCACTCATATTTGGCTCAGAATAAATCTCTTCAAATATTTTATAGAGTTTGACTCTTTTTGTTGACAAAGCTTTTAAATTAAGCTTTTAAATCAAAACATTTTAGAAGAAGAAAGCTAAAGTAAACCAAAAGAAACATGAAAGATGAAAGTAAAAAACCATGAATTACAGAAAAAAAACAGAGAGACAGGACTAATAAATACATCTAAGAACTGAATCTTAGAAAAACAATGAAATAGGTAGCTTAACTGGCTAATATAATTTTTAAAAGGCAATACAAAATGAACACATTTAGAAGTGAGAAAAATATACATGCACATAAAGGGAATTTTAAAAGATTATAAAAACTGGATGAAATAGATTATTTTAATATAAATTACAAGTTTATACTAAATGTAAGTTAATTTACCAAAAATGACAGCAAAAGAGATGGACAAAACCAAGGACACAAAATACTACAAAGAAACTGAGAAAGTGATCAAATGGTTACCCTTTTAAAAACACTAAATTCAGACAATTTCACAGAGGGCTTCAATCAACTTCGGTCAAATCTACAAGGAACAAAGCTTGCCAGTGTTATTAAAATAGTTCCAAAGCATAAGGGAAAAAGGCTATTCAATCAGTATTTACAAAACCAGTATAACTTTGACACCAAAATCTGAAAATAATAACACAGAAAACTATAGACCAATATTTTATGAACACTATTTAAAAATCCAAAATAAAATAATGGAAAAAGAAAACATCTATTAAAAAAAATGCAAAATGATCAAGGATTCAATGAAGAAATTTAAAAATTCAACATATTAAAAGATCAAAGGAATGTCAACCTAAAGGAAAAAATTGAGGCCAACTTAACGTAAGTAGAGATTTTATTTGGACCAAGTTTGAAGACTGCAACTTGTGAACATAGATTTAAGTTGCCCTGAATATATGCTCTGATTAGCTACAGTTACAAGTAGGTTTCTAAAGAAAAAGAAGAAGCAGTTCCTAAGTTGCTTACCAAGTATTTTATATTAAAATCACATAAGCTACTGATAGGCTATACATTGTTCTTCATATCAAAAATTCCAGGAACATGAAAGTAATGGGTGAGGCAGGTAGTCAGGAACAAAATGCCTTCCTTTTTTTTTTTTTTCCCCCACTTTTTAAAAGGCAAGGTCTTGCTATATTGCCCAGGCTGGTCTCCAACTCCTGGGCTCAAGTGATCCTCTTCTGCCTCAGTCTCCAGAGTAGCTGAGACTATAGGCATACACCACCATGCTTGGCTAATTTAAAAAAAAAAAAATTTAGGAACAGGGTCTTGCTATGTTGCCCAGGCTGGCCTCCAAATCTTGGGCTCAATCAATCCTCCTGGCTTGACCTACCAAAGCGCCAGTATTATGGGCATGAGCTGATGTGCCCACCTCTGTACTCTTTATTTATCATCATACAAAATTAATACTTGAATACACACACAACTTCAAATCTCCTCCATCCCCCTCCCAGTTTTCAGCTCCCTTTCTTAGCTAATTTTTCCCAAAGAGTTCTTGGTGGTTACTACTTTTACATCTTCAGCTCCCACTCCTTTTTCAATCAGTTGTGATTGTACTTCCATCTCCACCACTCCACAGGCACTGTTCCCATCAGACTCAACACGACCTCATCTTGCCAAATCCAGTGGTCACTTCTCTGTCTCTGTCTTTCTTCAGCAAACACTCAGGGCTTTCAAAAAAGCTGACCACTTCCTCATTGAAATACTCTCTCCACCAAGCTTCTGCAACACTACACTCTCCTGTTTCCCTTCTAAGTTCTGCCTTCATGTTTTCAGGCCCCTCCTCCTCTGTTTCAGCTCTAAATACCAGAGGACCAGAGAGCTGTGTTCCTGTTCCTTTTCTTTGTAATTTTTAAGTCATGTTACCAAACCAAACCAGGGTCTGCTCACTCAGTGCAGTAAAGCCAAACATCTACACCAAGGTTTTGCAGCAGGGGGGAAAAGAAGGCATTTATCTGCAGGGCACCAAGCAAGGAGAATCAGGCAGCTCACACTGTAAGAGCCAACCTTCGCAATAGCTTACAAGCAAGAGTTTTTAAAAGCAGGGATAAATTTCAGGGAAGTAGAAGTTACAGGCAGAATTTTAAGGCATATGTGGAGGTTATATATTGATTTGGCCTAAAAAGACAGTATATATTGAAGCAGGAACTTACAGGTCATTGGTGGATTCGAGGATTTTCTGATTCGCAATTGGTTAAGGAAGGGAAACTTTGTCTAAAAACTTGGGATCAGCAGAAAGGAATGTTAGGTCTGGCCCATGGGTATGACGTCCTTTAGGCTCCTAAGGAAGAAGTTTAGAAAAAAGAACGGCAGTCAGAGTTCAGTTCTCAATCGCCCCTTATCTGAGGTCTACATGCCAGTGGATCCATTTGGCTGGGGTCTGTGTTTCTGAAAAGTAGCTCAGGGACATATGTTGAGATGTTGTCTTTAGTTTCTATAGGGAACCAAACATCTCAGGACTCTAACTACCTTGGCTATTGTTTTCAGCTACTATTATCTTCTTGCTTATCAAGTTGCTTATTTACTTCTCAGGGCTAGTGAGGCGGCTAGTTCACTGCCTAGAATTTCCCCGGAAGGAACTCAATATTTTCCTCTATTTCCATGCTTGGCAAGGGGGGGAGGGGGGCCCTAAGAGGGATCCCTGCTCCGTTTCTGTCATGTGACCTTAGACGAGCAACTTAATCTTTCTGAGCCTTAATTTCCTCAACTATAAAATGAGAGTTAATAATAGTACCTTTCTCATATAATTATATCAAAGTCAAAATAAACATGTAGAGATGAATCCATAAATTTAATATTTTATTTGGGAAGAAAGAATTGCAATTTGGGCCATACATACAGACCTGGTGGTCTTCGGGTATGTCCGAATAGCAAAGAACGGCTTAGCAGTTTTGAAACGAGAAAAGTTCCCTTATTCCCCTCGCAGGGCGTGTGACGGGGGTGTGGCGCGCTTCTTCAGTGCCCCGCTGCTCACACCTCTAGGGGGAGCATACAGACAGACGGTCGGGTTGTGAGGCTCCGACCCCATAGCAGTGTCTAGGGGTTAATGTTTACAGCTGAAGCCCCAGTGGGCCTGTGTTACAGGGTGCTCTTTCAGTTTAGCCGTCCGTAGGCGGCTTGTGCTAGTCAGCTCAATCAGACACCCTGCCTTATCGCAGGGACAGAGGGCTTTCTGTATCATGGGGTTTCTTGCCCTGGTGTACCAGAAGAATCAGATCACACGTAGGCTTGGAGAATGAGTGCAAGGTTTATTGAGTGGAAGTAGCTCTCAGTAGATGGGGGAGCCAGAAGGGAGATGGAATGGAAGGTTGCTTTCCCCTGGAGCCAGGCCGCCCAGCAGCGGGGCTTACCTTATACCGCCCTGGCCAAAGTCCGTGTCCTTCCGCGGGTTGATGGCCTGCCGCCCTGCTGGCCTACCGGCGTCTGTCAGTATGTTCTTAGGCCAGTGCGTTCCTCTCAACGGCTAGGTGCTTGTGTCTTTTTCCACTGCTGTGATCCTCTCAATGTCCAGCCGCTGGTGTGTCTGCCCACTAGGGTCTCAGGGTTTTTATAGGCACAGGATGGGGGGATGGGGGCATGGTGGGCCAGGGTGGTCTTGGGAAATGTAACATTTGGACCTGAAAACAAATGCCTGTCCTCACCTAGGTCCGTGGGCACAGGCCTGGGGGTGGAGCCCTCGCCAGGGACCCGCCCTTCTCCGCCCAGCACTTCCCTGCCCTATTCCGATATCAGTTTTATAAAAAAGGAGAAATGTTATGTATTCTTCTTTGAGAAAGTTCATTGGCATAAGAAAGAATTTAGGGAGTCAGAAAGCTTCAACTGGTGAATGGTGGCTGTGGGCACAATTAGTGCTAGCCTTTGCAGCACGTTATCTCAGAAGATGAGATAAAACTGGTTTCAGGTTACAACAAGCAGTTTGGGCTTGCAGAGAATTACATTCTTTCAGCAATGTTGTACCCTGCGTGCTTGTTCCCCCTGGCTTCTCAACTCTGTTTTAGTTGTGAGTGACAAGAATGACCCAATTCTTATGATCAACTTTCATGATTGTTATGAGAATTAAACGAATTAACACCTGTAAAGCATTTGAAACAGAACCAGCCAGGTAATGAGTCAGTGCTTCTCAAATTTTAAGGCATATTAGAATCACTTGTGGCTTTTAAAAATCTTGATATCCAGCCCATATACCATAGCAATTAAATTAAAATCTCCAAAAAATTCTCTAATAACTAATTAGGCACAGGGTTTTATTGTTGTTATTTTGTTTTGAGACAGGCTCTTGCCCTATCAGCCAGGCTGGAGTGCAGTGGCATTGTCAGAGGCCTTTGAACCAGAGCAACTCCATCTTGAAAAGGGGCTGGGTAAAATAAGGCTGAGACCTACTGGGCTGCGTTCCCAGGAGATTAGGCATTCTAAGTCACAGGATCAGATAAAAGGTTGGCACAAAGTACAGGTCACAAAGACATGTACATTAATTATATGCACTAACTATAATGCATTATCATGCTAAAAGATATGCCCAGCAGTGCCATGACAGTCTATAAATGCCATGGCAATTTCAAGAAGTTACCCTATATGGTCTAAAAAGGGGAGGAATTGTCAGTTCTAGGAATTGCCCACCCCTTTTCTGGAAAACTCATGAATAATTCGCCCCTCGTTTAGCATATAATCAATAAACATAAAAATCGGCAACCAGCAGCCCTTGGGGCTGCTGTGCCTATGGAGTAGCCATTCTTTTGCTTCTTTACTTTCTCAATAAACTTGTTTTCACTTTATGGATATGCCTCAAATTCTTGCGTGAGATCCAAGAACAGCACAATCATGGCTCACTGCAGCCATCTTGGGTTCAAGCCATCCTCCCACCTCAGCCTCCTGAGTAGCTGGGACTATAGATAGGGGAAAGTCACCACACCCAGCTACCTTTGTTTATTTTTTGTAGAGATGGGGCTTCCACCATGTTGCCCAGGCTGATCTTGAACTTCTGGGCTGAAGCTATCCTCACACCTCAGCCTTCCTAAGTGCTAACATTACAGGCATGAGCTACTGCACGCAGCCTATTTTTTTAATTCTAAGGTAACTTCAGTGTGAGGCTAAGGTTGAGAACCAGGATAGTAAGAGATATAAAAGTATGTCTTAAATGAATAAGATAAACCTGTGTCTCTCTGAAGCTTCATCATCTGTGTCTGACACTTTTGTTGCCATTCACCCAATTTCTGAAGCCCAATGCCTAGGAGTGCCCCTTGATTCTCCCGTTAGCCTTAAATAATGAGGACCAGAAAAATTAAGTATAGAGTTTATAGGAGTCCAAAGCTTGAGGATGGCCACATGGGGGCATAGATTCAAGTTGCCATAAATATACACCCTGATTAGTAGCAGTTACTAGTTGAAGTTTTAAGGAGTAAAAGAAGAGGCAGTTCCTAAGTTGTTTACCAAGAATTTACATTAAAATAACATAAGCTAATGATTGGCTATATATTGTTCTTTGTATCACAAAAACAGGAAGAAAATGGATGTAGCAGCTAGTCAAGAACAAAATACCTTTAAACAATTGTCCCAGACATAGCGGAGAAGGTGACTGAAGTCCCATACTCATGTTTCTCTGAGCCTGATAAATTCTGCATATCTCACATAGCTCAGACTGCTCTGAGCTATTTTCCTTTTTTCCTTTTCTCACCCTTCTCCCTCACATCTCATATCCAATACTAGTATGTATTTTTCTCGTCCATTCACTTCTTTTGACTTCCCCAAATCCACCCTGATCCAAGCTACAATCATCTGTTTCCTGGGCCACTACAGTAGCCTCCTGGCTGTTCTCATTCCCTTTTTTGCTTCTCCATAATTCATTCTTCACAAGCAGCCACAGAATTTTTAATGCATATCACTCCCCTGATTAGAACTCCCCATTTGGCTTCCCATTGCATTTTGAATAAATCCAAACTCCTCACCATGGCCTCAACAAGATCCTGGGTGATTCAACACCTTCCTACCTCTCTGACCTTGTCTGCTCCTGCCCTTTCCCATTTTTACAATTCTTCAGTCACTCTGGCCTTTTTTCTTTCCTCTGAGACCACAATCTCACTCCCTGCCTCAGGGTTTTTACACTTCCTGGGATGCTCTGATGGCTCTCCCCTTTCCTGCATTCAAGTCTCACCTCAAATGTCACCTCATAGAAACCCTCTCTGACCACTCATCTAAAGTATCCCCCACCTCAAGTCACTCACAGTCATGTCACCTTATTTTATTGTCTTCACTGTAGTTCTCACTGTTACAGGACCAATGGGTTTGTATGTCCGCTGTGCAGTATCAGACTGATAGGCTGAGACAACAGGGTTTGCAGCAGAGAAAGAGTTTAATGATTGCAGAGTGGTCAAGTGAAAAGATAGGAGGAGACTCAAATCCATCTCCCCAAGATGTTCTGCGCTGGGGTTTTTAAGGGGATCATGGAGGGCAAGGGCCTAGAAAATTGAGGTCATTAATTGGTCAGGTAAGCGTAATGAAATAATCAGGATGTGGAAATTGCATTCTTTGTTAAGTCAGCTTTTCATGGGGCCTCAGTGAGGTCCCTCAGACCAGTTGACATCAATAGTTTCACTGGTATGCAGGACCTGAAAGAATATCTCAAATGGAAAACAACATTTCACAATGTTTAAGTTGTTATCTACAGAACAGTTAAGTGGTGACAGGTCTGTGTGATTCTGGGGTAACAGGCAGTGAATAACTCTTAGTAGGCAGGTCAGAGAGTAAGCTGACCTCATGATTAATGGTGAATGTGCTGCGATCTTGCTTTATTTTTATTTCTCCCCCTCTTTTCTACTCTGATTAACTTTCTGAAGTCTATAGGGATGGTTTCATCATTATCTGAAATTATCCTGTTTATTTATTTGGTTACTCGTTTACTATCTCTCTCTGCTAAAATATATTTCATTTTAAAAAGAAACTTGTCTATTTTGTTCACTTCAGCATTGTAAGAACCTTGAACAGTGCCCGACACATATAGGCACTCCATAAATATTTTTTTGGATGAATGAATATGAGGCAATAGGCATGGAAATAAAAACCAGGTTTTTTCAACTGAAATTGAAGGAGAAGAGCTCTTTCTTCTTAGGTGAAGCTTAGAGCAGCCTTGGCCCTAGCTTCAATTGGAAAGATACATAGTTTACAAAATTGAAGCCAAACAGGGAGCAAAGAAGAATGGAATAGATGAACGTCAGTGGCAGTTTTATTCCAAGTTCCCACTGATCTTTTCCCTTTCTTTTGTTCAGTAACATGAAGCAAAAAATTATTTTCCTTGCCTAAAATGAATCAGATTAGATTAGATTTCTGTTACTTGCCTCCAAAGGAATCCTGAATACTATAGTGGACAACAGGCTTCAAAGAAAGTTCCAACATTGGAGGCTGAGAAGGGGACTCTGGTCAGGAGCCCATTACCTAGACTGAGACCCCACTGTTCCTCCCATCAATGCCAAGCCAAGAATATAAAAAATGCCCTTCACAGAAACAACCAGGGAGGTGTGATCCTCAGATATGCTTTCAAAAACAAACTTGCCCATAAATTCCAAGGAGAGCAGTTAGCTGACATCCTCCAGCTGCAGTGCCTTTGGGATCTACTCTAGTGTTTGACCTGAGGCCACATTCTTTTCTGGTAGCTCCAGATGACTAAGCATGGCAGGGGTACCAGGCCTGAACATTTTTTGCCCCACTCAAGATTCCTCTATTGCACTGGAGCCCCCATTTTGCAGGCTGTCTTTCTCTGGGTTGCACTAATCTGAGGCTCTCCGGACCCAATCCTCCTTCTTCCCACTCTCCTTTCCCAGTTATTGGACCTGCATTATAGTCTGAAGGCTTTCCCTCCCTACTCCTTTATCAGCCATTACTCCTACTAAATTGAGTGCCCTTCTAACTGTCTTGGCATTTGCTTTCTGGAGGAGCCAACCAGCACACTAACCAAGTGCAGGGCAAGGCCAACAGCTCTCATGCTGTCTAGGGGCTGGTGTGAGGAAGAAAGCATGAGATGCAGGTACAATGGAAGGAGGGGAGACTTCTGGAAGATCAATAATTTATGGGTCCACAGCAATAACTTGTTTGTGTCTATTGAAGGGAAAACAGAGAGAAGAAGCTGAAGAAGACCATTAATAGCAGCTATGATTGAAATAAAGCAGAGAGAAGAAACATCTCCCTGGGAACTTTCCTCCTCCTTTCTTGTTGGAATTTTGTATAGACCACCATAAATCAGATGTTTATGGCTCTGAATTCAAGCGCTTTACTTATAACATATTCCTTTAACTATGGCATTGATCCCTGTGATGCTGAAGGTACGTTCACATAGCTCTTCGCATTTCCTGAAAAAGGAGAGGGGAATTCTCTTTCATTATAACAGGATGTCCTCTCTGTCGATGGCCATAGACATTCCTTGTAGGAAGCTGTTTCAGAATGCTGAAGATTGACTTGTCCAGCAGTTACCTTCCCAGGTCCAATACATTGTGATCTTGTGCTGTTGGTGACATCCCCCAGCCTCCATATTTGTCTCCTTGGCTTCTGCTTCTAGATACCACTATTCCACTCTCTTGTAAACTTTCTAGCTTTGTTTGATAACATCAAAGGAATAAGGATTTTGGCTGGGTGCGGTGGTTCACACCTGTAATCCCAGCACTTTGGGAGGCCGAGGTGGGTGGATCACCTGAGGTCAGCAGTTCAAGAACAGCCTGGCCAACATGGTGAAAACCCATCTCTACTAAAAATACAAAAATTAGCCAGGCATGATGGTGGGTGCCTGTAATCCCAGCTACTCAGGAGGCTGAGACGGGAGAATCACTTGAACCCGGGAGGCAGAGGTTGCAGTGAGCCAAGATCATGCCATTGCACTCCAGCCTGGGTGACAGAGCGGAACTCCGTCTCAAAAATAAATAAATAAATAATAATAACGGTTTTGGAGTTAGCCAGACCTGAGTTTGTCTTCTTACACAGTGCTACTTAGCTATCTGCCTTTCAAGTATGTTATGAGGATTAGATGAAATACAACGTGCCATGAGACTGGCACATGCACAACATACAGTAGGCACTCCATAAATAGTGTCCTCTCTTCCTCTCTTTCTCTTCTAAGGCGAAACATCTGGTGTTCACTCTCTGACCTTGCCTTCATAATTGCCATTCCTTACCCTTTTGCTGAAGCTCTTGCACAACTTCCTCTGCCACCCACATCATCTCACAACCACACCCACAACTGGAGTTTTACAATTACCCATCTGTCTCTCAGTTAGGATGTCCCATATTCCTCCTCCTCCAAAACGAGGAAACTGTAGTAACAGCATAATTAACAATGTATTACTAATGTTATAGTAGATCCAGTGGTGGGCTGGAGCCAGTTTGTACTGGTTTACAATAACCAATTGTTAAACTTTCAGTAATTTTGCCAACTGGTTGTTAAATGCAGCCATTACTAAAAATTAAATGTTAAAATAAATTATATTTAAAATGAAGGTAAGAATACTCAAAACTCATCACTTACAAATTATTTTACTGCATTTTATTATTTATGCTCTTGAAGTTATTTTCACTTGTGTCTGCATAATGGGAATATTGTATAATGGTGTGCCCGTCTCTTTCCACCTCCATGTAAAGTCACATCATGTTGGTAGCTTCAAATCAGCCATAGTAGGAGTATTTTCACCATGGAAATTGAAAAATGCTGCAAATTATAGAAAATTATAACTTTTTTTCAGAGCCAGTTGTTAAACATTTACAACATAGCACTCAGTGGATCCTTTTGAATATGATCCAATAATAATAACAGCAACAGCAAAATAACCAATAATAGCTAAAGAAATGAGCTATTTTTTAAAGAAATTAATTACCATCAAGATATCCCCATCAAACCATTTGCAATTCCCTAGACACATCATGCTCCCTCATGCCTTCATGTCTTTTTCATTGATCTAAGTACCAGGTTAATAAATGATTAAATGAATGTTTCTCTTCTGAGCAACCGTATATTCTGTGCTTGTTTTGTTGGATTTATCTCATAATTGTTTATCTTTTCCTACAACATAGTATTCTCCTTGAGGCAGGGACTTTGTCTTTCAACCTTGGCATTCCCAAGGACTGCTCATAGTAGAAAATCAACAAATGTTTGTTGAATGAATAAAACATTTGAATCATTAGCTTATCTATAGCAATAGTTCTCAAACATTTAGTCTCAGGACCCCCTTATACCCTTAAAAATTATTGAGGATCCTTAACAGCTTTAGTTAATATGGGTTGTGTCTACTGATACTTACAATATTCAAAATTAAAACTGAAAAAATTTTAAAACACAAGAATACATAAGCACACATTCAATTTGTCATGAGAGTAATGATGTCATCACATCACATAGCTTCTGGGAAACTCCAGTGAATCTTCATGAGAGAATGAGAATAAAAAAGAAAATAATATTTTAGTGTTGGTGTGAAACGTTTTTTGTTTTGTTTTGTTTTGTTTTGTTTTTGAGATGGAGTCTCGCTCTGACGCCCAGGCTGGAGTGCAGTGGCACAATCTCGGCTCACCACCACCTCTGCCTCCCGGGCTCAAGTGACTCTTCTGCCTCAGCCTCCCCAGCAGCTGGGTCCACCGGCATGTGCCACTATGCCAAGCTAATTTTTGTATTTTTAACAGAGACAGGGTTTCACCATGTTGGTCAGGCTGGTGTCAAACTCCTGACTTCATGATCCACCTGCCTCAGCCTCCCAAAGTGCTGGGATTACAGGCATGAGCCACCACGCCTGGCCGGTGTGAAAATACTTTGACCCCACAAGCCCCCTGACTAGATCTCAGGAATTCCCTGAAGGAGTCTCAGGGGCCCTCTGAAGGGTCTCAGGACCCCCAAGCAACACATTGAAAATCACTGCCTTATAGTAATTCTTCAACTAAATAAACTAACTCAGAAAAAAACATTCCACAGAGTTAGGTACAATGGATTTGATGATTTAGGATTAAGCACAGTAACTCTGTCCCAGAGGGAACTTGGAGAAAGGTGGACTGGTAGTCATTTGATGTGAGTCATTGTTTTGTGGATTAAATAATTTTGTAAAGTGAAAACGTGGTACTAAGCACATTAATCAATTACATATTTTTGATAGACTTTCTATAGGCTGAGGTATTTTTTAAATCAAGTAATTGGCATATTTTAGCAACCGATATTTTGGGGTATATTTTATGACTCTTGACCTTACGCTGGAAGCAGCACTAACTTTAAAACTCTCCAGCTACAGAACCCTAGTCTCCTATCAGGCTTTCTGAGACTGAGAAGAAGTGGTCAATAAATAGTGATTCCTGTGGTTTCCTTTTGAATTAAAGACTTTTCTGATTGAAACATTCATGCAGCTTTATAATCTGGTGTGATTAGTCCATTCTCACACTGCTATAAATACCTGAAACTGGGTAATTTATAAAGAAAAGAGGTTTAATTGACTTACAGCTCCACAAGCTGTACAGGAAGTATGGCTGAGGATGTCTCAGGAAATTTGCAATCATGGCAGAAGGCAAAGAGGAAGCAGGCACATCTTACATGGTGGGAGTAGGAGAAAGAGAGTGAGGGGGAAGGTGCTACACACTTTTAAAACACCAGATCTCATGAGAACTCACTCATTATCATGAGAACAGCAACAGGGAAGTCCACCCTCAGTATCCAATCACCTCCCACCAGGCCCCTTCTCCAACATTGGTGATTACAATTCAGACATGAGATTTGAGCAGGGAAACAAGTAGAAACCATATCACTGGTCAAATCCACTAATGTCTGTACATTACCACAATAATTATTATTTAATTGTTTAATTTTAAACAGATGAGAAAAGAAAGCCACTACTTCATTTTCCAAAATAGGGAGTATAAAAATCTTTTTCTTTCCTGTATCTATATAATATCCAAAATTATGTTACAGAAGTATTTTTGCTTTTCTCATGCTAAGAATACCAGTTCTTTCTTCAACATTATTTCTAATAAGCAGTTTCAGATAAAGAGTATGAATGTCAGGTTGCTCAGTTTCCACTCTTGTCAACTCTATTAAGTTTATTATGTAAAAAAGAAGAATGAAATGAGATAAAATGGATATATTTAGGATGTTTCGGGATGCCAAAACATTACTACTTTTACTATGACATAACAGAGGATGCCTTAATGCCTTATCACAAAGCTTTTCCCATTAAGCATCACAAAGGGTTCTATTTTTTCTTACAGTAATTCCCCTTTGAGGATAATATATTGCCATACTTCCTAAAGGAGGGTATATTTATCTTAGATGATGTATTCAGCAAAGTGTGTGTGTGTGTGTGTGTGTGTGTGTGTGTGTGTGTGTTAGAGAGGTGGGGGTAACATAATCATGGAGTATGTACCCCATGATAAGTAATTTAAAATTTTATTTTTATTAAAATAAACACAGATATATCAAATAAAATGAAGACATTATGTTAATTTTCAGATCAAATATGGAATTAAAAAATGTCTCTCCTTCAGCAGATTAATTCTCCCAGAACACACACCAATTGACAGAAAACAGCAGGGAGTCTAGACTCAGCAGCCTTACTGAAGAAGACTTAGAAAATCACAAAGCTTTGAAAGTCACAGAACCAAGAGATAAAGATTGGCATGACTATTTATCCAAAGCAAGTCATCCAAGTGGGTAAAAGTGCCCATCCTTCTGGTAACAGGATAAACAGATAAACAGTATAGAGATATTACAAGGAAATCTCAAAACACATTGGGATATATATATCATAAAATTTTTTTATGTATACAATATATGTATATATATGTGTATATACATATATGCATATTTTGTTTGTTTTGTTCTGTTTTGTTGTAAATAAAGGAGTTGATAAGTAAGGATGCTCATACTAAAAATTTATTCATTCATTCAACAAATATTTATTGAGCCCCTACTACGTGCCAGGTATTTTTCTATGCAATGAGGACATAGCAGTAAATAAAACAAGTCCCTGCTTTCATGGAGTTTGCATTCTTATGGGGGAGACAATAAACAAGCAAACAATAAATATATAACATAATGTCTGATATTTAAAACATTATAACAAAAATAAAACAGGATGGTATTAAGGGAGGAGACCACCCCTCACGTTGTCTTATGCCCAATTTCTGCCTCGAAAGAAACAAGAAGTAAAAACTAAAAGGCAGAAATGAAATCCACAGGCAGAAAGCCCAGTGCCACACCCTGGGCCTGGTAGTTAAAGATTGACCCCAACCTAATTGATTATGTTATCTATAGATTACAGACATTGTATAGAGAAGCACTGTGAAAATCCCTATCCTGTTTTGTTCTGTTCTAATTACTGGTTCATGCAGCCCCCAGTCACGTACCCCCTGCTTGCTCAATCGATCCAGACCCTCTCACGTGGACCCCTTTAGAGTTGTGAGCCCTTAAAAGGGACAGGAATTGCTCACTTGGGGAGCTCAGTTGTTGAAGACGTGAGTCTTGCTGAAGCTCCCGGCCAAATAAAACCCTTTCTTCTTTATCTTGGTGTCTGAGGGGTTTTGTCTGCAGCTTGTCCTGCTACATTTCTTGGTTCCCTGACTGGGAAGCGAGGTGATTAACAGACAATCGAGGCAGCCCTTAGGCAGCTTAGGCCCGCCCTGTGGAGCATCCCTGCGGGGGACTCCGGCCAGCTTGAGCGACACGGATCCTGAGAGCACTCCCATGTAGGCAATTGCCCCAGTGGAATGCCTCGCCAGAGCAGTGCATGGCAGGCCCTTGTGGAGGATCAACACAGCGGCTGAACACCAGGAAGGACATGGCACTTGGAGTCTGGACATCTGAAACTTGGTAAGACTGGCCTTTGGAACTTGCCTGCTCCATTTGAGTAGAAGCGTGGCCTGATCACCCACGGCGTGCCTGTACCGGCACTTTGGTTTTTGTTTTTGACTTGACTTGGATTGCTTGATACTTTGGTTTTGGTTTTGACCTGGCTTGGATTTCTTGATACTCTGATTGTGGTTTTGATTCTGGTTTGGTGTAAACTGTAAAATTATGTTTGTGCGCTTTTTACCTGTTCTTTGTTTTGTGGTGTGCTTGTGGTATGAGCCTGGTGTTTTGTCTTGAAGAAGCATGGGTCAGGCACAAAGTAAGCCCACCCCACTAGGAACTATGTTGAAAATTTTCAAAAAAGGATTTAAGGGAGATTACGGTGTTACCATTGTAGCAGGACAAGCCGCAGACAAAACTCCTCAGACACTGAGTTAAAGAAGGAAGAGGCTTATTTGGCCGGGAGCATTGGCAAGACTCCTGTCTCAAGAGCTGAGCTCCCCAAGTGAGCAATTCCTGTCCCTTTTAAGGGCTCACAACTCTAAGGGGGTACATGTGAGAGGGTTGTGATCAATTCAGCAAGCAGGGGGTATGTGACTGGGGGCTTCATGCACCAGTAATCAGAACGAAACAGAATAGGACAGGGATTTTTACAATGCTCTTCCATACAATGTCTGGAATCTATAGATAACATAACCGGTTAGGTCAGGGGTCGATCTTTAACTACCAGGACCAGGGCGTGGTGCTGGGCTGTCTGCCTGTGGATTTCATTTCTGCCTTTTAGTTTTTACTTCTTCTTTCTTTGGAGGCAGAAATTGGGCATAAGACAATATGAGGGGTGGTCTCCTCCTTATTCCCCTGCTTTGAGACTCTCACTCATTTTATTAGTGGGAGTTCTCACTTTCATTTTTACTACCTATGCCTTCCTGCATGACAGATTGATAGTGATTTATGTAGCACACTTGTGCTGAAGCATTCTGGTGAACTAGAGTAGCGATGAAACCTTTTGCCATTTGAATGAGTACAGGTAGTAAACAAGGGATCAGTAAGCAGGTTCCTATTAGTACTATAATTTTTATTATAAGAGTTTTAAATCCTCCTAGTGCTGGGAATCATTTTTAAACATGGCCTCAGGGTCAAATCCGTGCCACACTTGTACAGGCACATGTGCCAGTTTAGTCATGTCTTTAACTATATCTTCAACTACTTGACCCTGATCATCTATGTGCAGGCAGCAATTGGTAAGGTTAAATTTTCTACAGACTTTCAGCTGCTAGCAAGTAGTTGGGAGTCCATCTATTTTGATAGATAGCATTTCTCATCTGAGTTTCTTGCTGGGCCAGAACAGTCAAGGTTTTACCGGTTTTATCAGTAATGATCTCCAAGACAGCTTGCAACTGTATGATTCGGTTGAGCATGTAAATGGGGGTCTGGTATCACCACGAGCCATCTTATGCCCAAGTGGTAGGCCCATAGTATTGTATAATTTTTTCAGGAGGCCGTTTATCATCTTTTTAATTATCTATGGCTATGCTTCACTTTTTGCTGGAAGCATAGAAAGGGAAGCCCAGGAGTTCGCCTGTTTTTACCGGCAGTAGGAAGGAAGATGGTTTAATAGTGCCAATAACACAACTACCTGTCCACTGGTCAGGCAGCTTAGCGTAGGCTCTATGTCCACATATCCAGTATAGCCCAGTGGGGGCTGTCCAGTCCCAGTGGGATTCTGGGTGGGCCTAAATGGTCTGCAACTTTGGAAATTTACTGAATGGATTTTTCTCTGGGTGGTTTGAACTCCACCACATAGTCTTCCTACAGGAAGGGTGAAGTCCTTCCCCACTCTTGCTATACAGTATTGTCTAATGATTGAGGCTTTTAGGACCTAGAAGTGATCAGGGTAATTATTTTGGGCCAGGAATTCATCAGGAACTGGGTCTGTAGGTACTAATTCTCGGGCTTCCTACGGCCATTGATCTCCTGTTACAGTTTCTCCACATACATAACATGAAGTGAGAGTGAGAAACTGGGCTACATGCTCAGCTAACTGCAAAAACAAATTTCTTATTTTTCCTGGAATTTCTGGTACTGGCACATTTAGTTTATCATAGAAGGTTTGAAATACTGGCTCAGGAGGGTGTTTATAAACTTTTTCTCAAACCACAATATTTACTTGAAGATCCAGTCCAGCTCCATCAATTTTTAGGGTTCCCCTTTTTTCTAGCGAGGATTAAGGGGGTTGGTTATTACTAGATCTAAGTGGTTACACTGACCGCTGGTACAGGAAGGGCCACTTTTCCCTTTCTGAAGGTGGACAGGATTTTTTTTATTTTTTTTATTCAAGTAGCCTAAATGACACAAGAGCAGTATCTACATTTATTTTCACACAGAACTAATTCATGATAAATGTACTTATTTTCTGCCATATAGCCTCTTTTCTAATTAACAGAACCACATCTTATTTTATTTTTTTTTTTTGTATTTTTAGTAGAGACAGGGTTTCACCGTGTTTTCATATCATTTTTTACTTATTATTATTAATGACAGCACAGGCATCAAACTTCAAGGTGATTTGTTTGGGCACCTCTTTTTTTTTCTGTTTTGGCTAACACTTTACTTGTATCATTTATGAGCCCCCACCAGTCTTCAGTTCTTAATCTTATTTTAAAAACTGTGGTCATCGGAGGCTCAGATGGGTCATAACACACATCAGGTTGGTCATTTCCCGGGCTACATACCTTGTATAGAATAACATTATACAAACAAGTTCTTTTTAGATTTCCAGCACACTTATAATAACCGTAAAATAATAGGACTGTAGCAACATTTTGTCCTATCTCAGTGACTTGATGTATACACTGGGAACAGCCCTCAGTCTGCAGAAGGTCAGTTGAAGTCCTTACTGTACAAGTCCAACTTTTAAGGAAAATGAGTCCCACAATGAGTTTTCTCATGCTTCGGCTGTGCGTGGACCAGTCAGCTTCCGGGTGTGACTGGAGCAGGGCTTGTCGTCTTCTTCAGAGTCACTTTGCAGGGGTTGGCGAAGCTACTGCCATCCATATACGGCTCCCAGTCTACTGATGTTTAAGGATGGTCTCAGAGGCTGGGCCCACTAGAATAAACTGAGTCCAATACCTCTACATAGTTATGTTCAACTGGGCTCTCTGATACCGGGAGCAAGGTGGCGAGGTTTAGGGTGTTGCAAACTTCAATGGTTATGTGGGGATTTTCACAGAGCAAGCTTTGGTATCTGTTAGTCTAGCATTCGTTAGCTAATGATGTCCTTTGGTATTTATTAAAGTCACCACAGCATGGGGGTACTTTATGTTTAGGTTTTGCTCAAGAGTTAGCTTATCTGCTTCTTGAGCTAACAGGGCCATTGTTGCCAGGGCCCTTAGACATGGGGGCCAGACTTTGGAAACCCCATCTAGTTGTTTTGAGAGATAGGCCACTGGCCTTGGCCAGGGCCCTACAGTCTAGGTTAAAACTCCAACTGCCATTTTTCTTTTTCTGACACATAGGGTATAAAGTGTTTTGTCAGGTCAGGTAGCCCCAGGGCTAGGGCTGACATGAGTTTTTCTTTTAACTCATGAAAAGCTTGTTGCTGTTGGTTTTAATAGATGTAGTTTGTCTAATCTACGTTTTTATTAACTGTCACCCACTAAAATATAGACTTAAATCCTGTAGCTATTTGATCTCAAGCTTTAAATTGATCTGGTATTCCTTGTGGGGCTCCAATTGCGTCTAAATAGATGTGAGAGTTGAAAGACCCATAAAGGGCTTCTCTTGCTTTAAGGTGTCTTATTTTTTCTCCCTCTGGTTGATAAAATGCCAGGGCAAAAGGGATAGCCAAATGGACTAAAGCACAAGTGCCACTCCAGTTATTCGGCAGAGTGCCCAGTAAAGGTCCACCACAATACCACCACACATCTGCTCAGGGCTGACTGATTGATAAGTTCTTGAAAATTCTTAAGCTCATCGCATCCCTTCAGGTTTCCAAGGAATGCTAAGTTTCCTCCCTGTCGTGAGAGACACGAAGTGAACTTAGTGTTGGGAGACGGAAGCTGGATGGCCCTTGGGGGCTGACCCGCAGGGTGCTGGACTTCGGGATATAGCAGAGAGAGCTTGGCATGACTTATTACTCCAGGCTATAGCATCCTGGAAAAGAGCTGCTGTGCAGCCTACGCCTGGTCGACTGGAGGACCACCTTAGTGGAAGGGGGACAATTTGGGCCTCTGGCCTGCCATGTGCACAAGCATAACAATTGCTTTTTGTTTAACATGCAGATGGAATATTTGATCCATTTTAACCAGGCATTTGCATCTTGGTATCCTATCTTTATTGCTAAAGTTTGTTTTAAGTCTTTAACTTCTATGATCCTCTAGTAAAATGAATGTATGATTTTAGGAAATTACAAAAACCAGTTGGGGCAGTCCATCCTTGCTCTTTAGTGGCCCACAGAACATTGGACCAACTATGGCATGAAAGCTCTACATCGGGGGGCAAGACTCCTGGTTGGCATTGGGGTCTTTATCGAAATCTCCCTGGAATAAATGGTCCTAGTTTACTAATGTCGAGTCTGAGGAGAGTCGGGATGGAAAGAAGTACTTTTGTGAAGTAGAAAACTGTCTTTGACTTGGCAAGTCTCCACAGGGTATAACAAGGCAAGCATTAAATGCAATAGTTGGAGGCAAAATTGACTTGGTTATATTAATAACCAGATGGTCAGCAATAGGACGAGGAATGAAGAAAGAGTAACAGAATAGACGAAAAGAGTTAAATTTTTTTAGCTTTAGTTTAGTAGGGTTTTCCCCTGGGACTATGGCCCACGACTCTGGAGGAGGTGGTGCTTTCTTGACTCGGGTGTGATGAGTCCATCCTTTTTTGCTGTACGAGCAGCAGTCTTGGTGGTTAGCAGCACAAGGTAGCGTCCTTCCTAGGCTGGCTCGAGTTTTTCTTCTTTCCACCCTTTGATGAGAACGTGATCTTCAGGCTGGTGCTGGTTTACTGGAAATTCTAGGGGCGGTACCTGTGCTAAAAGACTTTTAGTTTTGAGGGAAAGGAAAGTGGAAGATAAACCAAGTATATAATTTTTAAGAAATTGACCTTTTGTTTTAAATGTGGGGACCTTGGCAGTGGACTTTAAAGTCTTTGGTGCCTTTTTACTGAGAAATTTCTTTTAGCCCCTATTTTTATTAGTTTTTAAACCAAAGAAAGCCAAATACCATTTTACATTTAACAATGCTTTATGTATGATTTTTATACCAGATAAGCTAAATTTTACCGTTATATTAGTGTGTTATTAATGTTAAACCTAATTTTAATAAAACCTTGTAGACATATTTATCCAATTTTTAATGTTTGACCATAAGGTAAGATTTTATAGCCTCTTTTTAACCTTTTATAATTTTTGCTAAAGCGCAGGTTGGTGCTTTAAGAAAAACCTGCTATGCTTTTATTTTAATGTCCCGTTTACAGAAAAACTGGATAATACCTCTTTAACTTTAGCCAATGTTTACACACAGAATTTTCTTTCCATTAACATTTTAAAACTTGATTAAACCTTTAAAACAAAATATACATATTTTAACCTTTTAATGTCGGTAAAAATTTGTATTCTTATAATTATTTTACCAAAGGTATATTTCACTTTTCTTATACACCTTGCACATAAACTGTTATTTTTTTTTTTTTTTTTTTTAGTTTTACATTCAGGAGGCCTAGTTACTTTTACATTATACAACATTTCCTGCATAAATTCTTTTTTTATAACATTTTTCTCTTTCACAACTTTCGCAGACAATTCTCCAACATGCTTTAACTTTCAGACTTATTACAAATATTTCTTTCTTTAAACAACCAGTTAATTTATTTCAGGAGAAGACTTTACAATATAATACTCTTTTTATATAAATTCTGCCCCCCTTTTTTTTCCTTCTTTTTTTTTCTAACAGAACAGCCCCATACTTTAAGATTTTTGAGTTAGTAAGCTCCTTTTTCTTTTTTGATTTAGGATAGTTCTGAACTGAACTAATAAGGTGTGCTCACAATGAGGTTTCCTCTAAAAGTTATTTATTTATTTATTTATTTTTACTTTTTTTCTGTTAGCAAAGCAGTTGCTGCTACAGATTGAATGCATTTGGGCCATCCGCAGGTTACTGGGTTAAGAATTTTTGATAGGAAGGCCTCAGTGCTTTCGGGATATGCCCTTGTTTACACAGACAACAAAGTGGTATTGGAGCATTATAGGATTACAGAGAATACCTTCAATTATCAATTACAGGTTTTAAATTTACCTTGGCTTTTAAAGGAATAGGGTACACTGTTTTTTTTTCTTAACTACCTGTATATATCTCTCTTTCTCTCTCTCTTTGACTTTATCTCTCTCTCTTTGACTTTTCTTTGCCTCTGTCTCTTCCTCTCTCTCTTTTCTGTCTCTCTCTCTCTGCCTCGCTTATGCTGCAGTTCTCTCAACCACTGTGGAGAGATCCAAAACCAGCTGTAACCAAGCATCTATGTATGGGAACTGGTCTGGGTGCCCTGGCTTTACAGGTTACCTTGTGCCATACCTTTGAAACAAGGGACCTGTCCAGGCTTCCTTCTGATGGCCAACCCACCTCTAATGCTGGCCAGTCTATTTTACACAAAGTTTTAAGTTTTCCTGGTGTCATAGTACCCCATAGTCTCCCTTAAATCCTTTCTTGAAATTTTTCAACATAGTTCCTAGTAAGCTGGGCTTATTTGTGCCTGACCCATGCTTCTTTGAGACAAAACGCTACACTCACACCACACGCACACCACAAAACAAAGAACAGGTAAAAAGGGCACACACACAGTTTTGCAGTTTACACCAAATTAAAATCAAAACCAAAATCAGAGTATCCAGAAATCCAAGCCAGGTCACAACCAAAACCAAAGCATCAAGCAATCCAAGTCAAGTCAAAAACAAAAACCAAAGTGTCGGTACGGGCACACCATGGGTGATCAGGCCATGCTTCCACTCAAATGGAGTAGGCAAATTCCAAAGACCAATCCTGTCAAGCAATTCAAACCAAGTCAAAACCAAAACCAAAGTGCCGATAAAGGCATGCCATGCGTGATCAGGCCACACTTCCACTTAAATGGAGTGGGCAAGTTCCCAAGACCGGTCCTGTCAAGCAATTCAAACCAAGTCAAAACCAAAACCAAAATCAAACCGAAGTGCCGATAAAGGCACACCTTGGGTGATCAGGCCATGCTTCCACTCAAATGGAGTGGGCAAGTTCTCAAGACTAGTCTTACCAAATTTCAGATGTCCAGATTCCAAGTGCCCGTTCCATCCCGGTGTTCAGCCACTGCATTGATCCTCCATGGGGGTCTGCCGCGCGCTGCTCTGGCAAGACTTCCCACTGGGGCAAATGCCTATCTGGGAGTGCTCTCAGGATCTGCATCACTCGGGCTGATCGGAGTCCCCCATAGCGATGTTCCACAGGGCAGGCTTAAGCTGCCTAAGGAGCTGCCTCGACCATCCGCCAATCACCTCGCTTCCCGGTCAGAGAACCAAGAAATGTAGCAGGACGAGCTGCAGACAAAACTCCTCAGACACCGAGTTAAAGAAGGAAGAGGTTTATTTGGCTGGGAGCATCAGCAAGACTCCTGCCTCAAGAGCCAAGCTCCCCAAGTGAGCAATTCCTGTCCCTTTTAAGGGCTCACAACTCTAAGGGGGTCCACATGAGAGGGTCGTGATCAATTGAGCAAGCAGGGGTTACGTGACTGGGGGCTGCATGCACCAGTAACCAGAATGAAACAGAACAGGACAGGGACTTTTACAATGCTCTTCCATACAATGTCTGGAATCTATAGATAACATAACCGGTTAGGTCAGGGGTTGATCTTTAACTACCAGGCCCAGGGCGTGACACTGGGCTCTCTGCCTGTGGATTTCATTTCTGCCTTTTAGTTTTTACTTCTTCTTTCTTTGGAGGCAGAAATTGGGCATAAGGCAATATGAGGGGTGGTCTCCTCCCTTACTATGACACCAGGAAAACTTAGAACTTTGTGTGAAATAGACTGGCCAGCATTAGAGGTGGATTGGCCATCAGAAAGAAGGCTGGACAGGTCCCTTGTTTCAAAGGCGTGGCACAAGGTAACCTGTAAGCCAGGGCACCCAGACCAGTTCCCATACATAGACGCTTGGTTACAGCTGGTTTTAGACCAACCCCCTGCCACAGTGGTCTAACAGCAGCATAAGTGGCTGGCAGAGGCAAGGAAAGACCAGCAGAGAGAGAAAGAGGAAGAGACAGAGAGACAAAGAGGGAATCAAGGAAAGAGAGAAAGAGAGAGAGAAAGAGAGAGGCAGAGAGAGAGAGAAAGAGAGAGGCAGAGAGAGACAGAGAAAGAGAGAGGCAGAGAGAGAGAAAGAGACAGAGGCAAAAGGAAAGTCAAAGAGAAAAAGAGATAGAAAATCAAAGAAAGAAAGAAAGAGAGAGATATACAAGTAGTTAAGAAAAAAAAACAGTGTACCCTATTCCTTTAAAAGCCAAGGTAAATTTAAAACCTATAATTGATAATTAAAGGAATTCTCTGTAACCCTGTAACACTCCAATACCACTTTGTTGTCAGTGTAAACAAGGGTGTATCCCGAAAGCGCTGAGGCCTTCCTATCAAAAATCCTTAACCCAGTAACCCTTGGATGGCCCAAATGCATTCAATCTGTAGCAGCAACTGCTTTGCTAACAGAAAAAAGTAAAAAAAATAACTTTTAGAGGAAACCTCATTGTTAGCACACCTCACCAACTCAGAAGTATCCTAAGAAAAAAAAAAACGAGGATGACTTAACATTAACCACTGAAAATTCCCTTAACCCAGCAGGTTTCCTAACAGGGGATCTAAATCTTAATTACAACACAAAGGTCGGACCAGACCTAGGAGGAACTCCCTTCAGGACAGGATGATTGATGGTTCCTCCCAGGTAATTGAAGATTAAAAAAAAAAAAGCCACCTATATAAATTCTAAGTTAATTTGGACAAAACAAGGTCTTATTAATAGCAAAGGATAATTAAAACCCAAACTTACAAGGTTTTCAACAAAGGTAAAGTTTGCTAAAAGTTAACAGTGTACCATGTATTATAGTAACTTCTAATCTTGTGGCCTTAGACAATCTAGTCCACAGACATAAAAGAAATTTACTTTGGAAAACAATGGTTATCATCTTCAAAAAAAAAATGGGGAAAAAAAAGTAGGGGGGCAGAACTTATGTAAAAAGGATGTTATATGGTAAAATCTTGTCCTGAAATAAATTAATTGGTTGTTTAAAGAAAGAAATGTTTGTAATAAGTCAGAAAATTGAGGCATGTCAAAGAATTGTCTGTGAAAGTCATGAAAGAGAAAAAAACTTATAAAAAAAAATTTATGCAAGAAATGTTGTATAATTTAAAAGTAACTAGGCCTCCTGAATGTAAAACTGTTGAAAAAACAGTTTATGTGCAAGGTGTATAAGGAAAGCAAAATATACCTTTGGTAAAAGGATTATAAGGAAGCATAAGAATATAAATTTTTACCTACATTAAAAGGGTAAAAAAAATTTTGTTTTGAAGATTTAAGCAAGTTTTAAAACTTTAATTTTATATATATAAAAAAATTCTGTGTGTAAACATATTAGCTAAAGTTAAAGGGGTATCATCCAGTTTTTCTGTGAACTGGACATTAAAGTAAAAACACAACAGGTTTTTCTTAAAGCACTAACCTGCTCTTTAACAAAGATTATAAAAGGTTAAAAAGAGTCTATAAAAATCTTACCTCATGGTCCAACATTAAAAATTGAATAAATATGTACACAAAGTTTTATTAAAACTAAGTTTAACATTAATAGCACACCAATATAAAGGTGAAATTTAGCTTATCTGGTATAAAAATCATACAAGAAGCACTATTAAATATAAAATGGTGTTTGGCTTTCCTTGGTCTAAAAACTAATAAAAAATAGATGCTAAAGGAAATTTCTCAGCAGAAAGGCACCAAGGACTATCAAATCCATTGCTAATGTCCCCACATTTAAAACAAAAGGTCAGTTTCTTAGAAATTATATACTTGGTTTATCTTCCACTTTCCTTTCCCTCAAAACTAAAAGTCTTTTAGCACAGGTACCGCCCCTAGAATTTCCAGTAAACCAGCACCAGCCTGAAGATCACATTCTCATCAAAGGGAGGAAAGAAGAAAAACTCGAGCCAGCCTAGGAAGGAACCTACTTTGTGCTGCTAACTACCGAGACTGCTGTTCGTACAGCGGAAAAGGGATGAACTCATCACACCCGAGTCAAAGTGCCACCCCCTCCAGAGTCGTGGGCCATAGTCCCAGGGGAAAACCCTACCAAACTAAAGCTAAGAAAAATTTAACTCTTTCATCTCTTCTATTACTCTTCTTTCCTTGCTCTATTGTTGACCATCTGGTTATTAACATAACCAAGTCAATTTTGCCTCCAACTATTGCATTTAATGCTTGCCTTGTTATATCCTGTGGGGACTTGCCAAGTCAAAGACAGATCTCTACTTCAGAAAAGTACCTCTGTCCCTCCTGACTCTCCTCAGACTGGGCATTAGTAAATTAGGACGTTTTAATCTAGGGAAATTTTGATAAAGACTCCAGTGTCAACCAGGAGTTTGCTCCTCAACATAGAGCTTTTATGCCATAGTTGGTCCAACATTCTGTGGACCACTAAAGAGCAAGGATGGACTGCCCAAACCGGCTTTTGTAATTTCCCAAAATACATTCATTTTACTAGAGGATCATAGAAGTTAAAGACTTAAAACAAACTTTGGCAATTAAAACAGGATACCAAGATGCAAATGCCTGGTTGGAATGGATCAAATATTTCATCTGCACGTTAAACAAAAGCAATTGTTATGCTTGTGCGCGTGGCAGGCCAGAGGCCCAGATTGTCCCCTTTCCACTAAGGTGGTCCTCCAGTCAACCAGGCATGGGCTGCATAGTAGCTCTTTTCCAGGATTCTACAGCCTGGAGTAATAAGTCGTGCCAAGCTCTCTCTGCTATGTCCCAAAATCTGGCACCCTGTGGGTCAGCCGCTGAGGGCCATCCAGCCTCCGTCTCCCAACACTACGTTCATTTCGTGTCTCTCATGACAGGGAGGAAACTTAGCATTCCTTGGAGACCTGAAGGGATGCAGTGAGCTTAAAAAGTTTCAAGAGCTTATCAGTCAGTCAGCCCTTGTTCATCCCCGAGCGGATGTGTGGTGGTATTGTGGTGGACCTTTCCTGGGCACACTCTGCTGAATAACTGGAGTGGCACTTATACTTTAGTCCAATTGGCTATCCCTTTCACCCTGGCATTTCAAAAACCAGAGGGAGGAAAAATAAGACATCGTAAAGCGAGAGAGAAGCCCTTTATGGATCTTTTGACTCTCACGTCTATTTAGATGCAACTGGAGTCCCTCAGGGAATACCATATCAATTTAAAGCTTGAAATCAAATAGCTGCAGGATTTGAGTCAATATTTTGGTAGGTGACAGTTAATAAAAATGTAGATTGAATAAACTACATCTATTACAACCAACAGCAACAAGCTTTTCACAAGTTAAAAGAAAACCTCATGTCAGCCCCAGCCCTGGGGCTACCTTACCTGACAAAACACTTTACACTCTATGTGTCAAAAAGAGAAAAAAAATGGCAGTTAGAGTTTTAACCCAGACTATGGGGCCCTGGCCAAGGCCAGCGGCCTATCTCTCAAAACAACTAGACGGGGTTTCCAAAGGCTAGCCCCCATGTCTAAGGGCCCTGGCAGCAACGGCCTGTTAGCACAAGAAGCAAATAAACTAACCCTTAGGAAAACCTGAATATAAAGGCCCCCCATGCTGTAGTAACTTTAATGACTACCAAAGGACACCATTGGTTAACAAATGCTAGATTAACCAACTACCAAAGCTTGCTATGTGAAAATCCCCGCATAACCATTGAAGTTTGCAACACCCTAAACCTCGCCACCTTGCTCCTGGTATCAGAGAGCCCAGTTGAACATAACTGTCTAGAGGTGTTGGACTCAGTTTATTCTAGCAGGCCCAACCTCCGACACCATTCTTAAACATCAGTAGACTGTGAGCAGTACGTGGACGGGAGCAGCTTTGCCAACCCCTGCAAAGTGACTCTGAAGAAGATGACAAGCCCTGCTCCAGTCACACCCGGAAGCTGACTGGTCCACACATGGCCGAAGCATGAAAAAACTCATCGCGGGACTCATTTTCCTTAAAATTTGGACTTTTACAATAAGGACTTCAACTGACCTTCCTCAGACTGAGGACTGTTCCCAGTGTATACATCAAGTCACTGAGGTCGGACAAAAAAATTGCTACAGTCCTATTATTTTATGATTATTATAAGTGTACCAGGACTCTAAAAAAAAAAAAGAAACTTGTTTGTATAATGCTATTCTATGCAAGGTATGTAGCCCAGGAAATGACCAACCTGATGTGTGTTATGACCCATCTGAGCCTCCCATGACCACAGTTTTTGAAACAAGATTAAGGACTAAGAACTGGTGGGGGCTCATAAACGATACGAGTAAAGAGTTAGCCAAAACAAAAGAAAAAGGGGTGCCCAAACAAGTCACCTTGAAGTTTGATGCCTGTGCTGTCATTAATAGTAATAAGTTAGGAATAGGATGTGGTTCTCTTAATTAGGAAAGAGGCTATATGGCAGAAAATAAGTACATATGTCATGAATTAGAACTGTGTGGAAATGAATGTGGATACTGGTCTTGTGTCATTTAGGCTACTTGGATAAAAAATAAAAAGGATCCTGTCCACCTTCAGAAAGGGAAAAGTGGCCCTTCCTGTACCAGTGGTCAGTGTAACCCCTTAGAACTAGTAATAACCAACCCCCTTAATCCTCGCTGGAAAAAAGGGGAGCATGTAACCCTAGGAATCAATGGGGCTGGACTGGATCCTCAAGCAAATATTGTGGTTTGAGGAGAAGTTTATAAACACTCTCCAGAGCCAGTATTTCAAACCTTCTATGATAAACTAAATGTGCCAGTACCAGAAATTCCAGGAAAAACAAGAAATTTGTTTTTGCAATTAGCTAAGCACATAGCCCAGTCTCTCAATGTCACTTCATGTTATGTATGTAGAGGAACTGTAATGGGAGATCAATGGCCATGGGAAGCCCGAGAATTAGTACCTACAGACCCAGTCCCTGATGAATTCCCGGCCAAAAAGAATCACCCTGATAACTTCTAGGTCCTAAAAGCTTTAATCATTAGACAATACTGTATAGCAAGAGTAAGGAAGGACTTCACAATTCCTGTGGGAAGACTCAGCTGCTTTGGACAAAAACTGTATTATAATAATACTACAAAAATAGCCACCTAGTGGAGCTCAAACCACACTAAGAAAAATCCATTTAGTAAATTCCCAAAGTTGAAAACTGTGTGGACCCACCCGTTAGACAGCCCCCACTGGATTATACTGGATATGTGGGCATAGACCTTATGCCAAATTGCCCAACCAGTGGGCAGGTAGTTGTGTTATTGGCACTATTAAGCCATTTTTCTTCCTACTACACATAAAGACAGATGAACTCCTGGGCTTCCCTGTCTGTGTTTCCCTCAAAAAAGAAGCATAGCTATAAAAAATTAAAAAGATGATGAATGGCCTCCTGAGAGAATCATACAATATTATTGGCCTGGTACTTGGGCACAAGATGGCTCATGAACCCATATTTACATGCTCAACTGAATGATACGGTTACAAGCTGTCTTAGAAATAATCACTAATAAGACCGGCAGAGCCTTGACTATTCTGGCCTGGCAAGAAACTCAGATAAGAAATGCTATCTATCAAAATAAATTGGCTCTCAACTACTTGCTAGCAGCTGAAGGAAGGGTCTGCAGAAAATTTAACCTTACTAATTCCTGTCTACACATAGATGATTAAGGGCAAGTAGTTGAAGACATAGTTAGAAATATGACAAAACTGACACATGTGCCCATGCAAGTGTGGCATAGATTTGATCCTAGGGCCATGTTTGGAAAATGATTCCCAGCGCTAAAGAGATTTAAAACTCTTATAATAGGAGTTATAATAGTAATAGAAACCTTCTTACTGCTCCCTTGTTTGCTACATGCATTTCTTCAAATGAAAAAAAGCTTCATCACTACCTTAGTTCACCAAAGTGCTTCAGCACAAGTGTACTATATGAATCACTGTCATTCTGTCTTGCAAGAAGACACAGGTAGCAAAAATGAAAGTGAGAACTCCCACTATTGAGTGAGAGTTTCAAAGTGGGGGGAGTAAGGGAGGAGACCACCCCTCACATTGTCTTATACCCAATTTCTGCCTCCAAAGAAAGAAGAAGTAAAAACTAAAAGGCAGAAATGAAATCCACAGGCAGACATCCCGGCGCCAGGCCCTGGGCCTGGTAATTAAAGATTGACCCCTGACCTAACCGGTTATCTTATCTATAGATTATAGACATTGTATAGAAAAGCACTGTGAAAATCCCTGTCCTGTTCTGTTCCATTGTAATTACCAGTGCATGCAGCCCCCAGCCACATACCCCCTGCTTGCTCAATCGATCATGACCCTCTCACGCGGACCTTCTTAGAGTTGTGAGCCCTTAAAAGGGACAGGAATTGCTCACTCGGGGATCTCGGTTGTTGGAGACGTGAGTCTTGCCGAAGCTCCCAGCTGAATAAAGCCCTTTCTTCTTTAACTCGGTGTCTGAGGGGTTTTGTGTGCAGCTTGTCCTGCTGCAGTATGATAGAGATTGCTGGGGAAGCTGCTCTTTTAACTGGGGTGCTCAAGGAAAGCCATCCAAAGAGGTGAAGTGAGAGAATCAGCCCATCTGATGGAAGAGTGTTCCCTCAGAGGGAACAGTCAATGCAAAGTGCATCAAGTGGAAGCACATGTGGCTCGTTTGAGACATAAGGGATCAGTGTGGCTAGAATGGAGTAAGCAAAAGAAGCCTGATGGGAGGTGAGTTGAAGAGGTCATAGGAGCCAAATATAAGCAGAGCTTATATACCATGGAGGGCTTTGGATTTTATTCTAAGTGTGGTGGAATATGTTTAATAGGCCATTGACCTGGTTTGATTTAAGAAGTTCTTAAGGACAAACAGGACTTTCTAAATAGTTATTGTGTTTTCTTGTACTTTCATGCTACTACAAGAAGTTATCTGTTTAATATAAGACATATCAAACAAAAGCGGAGAGGGACAGGGTCAGAAACTGGAGCAGAAGATAGAAAAAGTTCTCTCTTCAATGGCTTAGAAGTTGGCCCATGTGAAGACAGGTGAACAGTGTTATGAAGCGAATTGCTTTCTAGGCCTACCTTCTATAACTCTGATACTCACTCAAATGAGAATTATCATGAAGTTAATGCTAGATATTTTACAATTTGTTTTCTGATTTTAATTAAAATATCTATTCATTATAAGACATTTGGAAAGTAGAGAAAAGTAGAAGAAAGAAAATGAAAACACATATAATCCCATCAACCCCCCAAAAAAATCACCATTAAAAATATTGGCCCATCTCTATTCTGTCTTTTCTTTGATACACATTTATACAAAATGAGATTACATCATATTTTTGTAAGTTCATTCTGTAAGCCTGTATTAAAGGTGAAATAGTAATAGGCCAATGTTTGCCTCCTGACTGTGAGAAAAGCAGCTTTGTTACACACATGAAGCATGAGGGGGCTAGCTCTATGCAAGTAATGACAGTCCGAGGAGTAGCTAGAGGTCAGCTCTGTTCAGTCTAAAAGACAAAAAGTCCTGAGTCCCATTCAGTCCTGAGTGCCTCAGTACAGTCAGCCAAAGCTGGATTCACCTCACCCAAGCCTGCATTTCCTCGTAGAGAGAATCAGAGAAAGTTAGATCATTTCATCTCAAAAGGAAAAAGTATGTTATCTCCAGCTTCCAATTCTTAGAGTCACGGCTGGGAATTAGTGTGAGGTGAGTGAGGCATTCTCCTTGGGCTCAACACTTAAGGTGTACCAAAAACCTATAATCAAAAGAAGGAATATTTTAATGCAAAATTTTGAAAAATAAAAATTAATGTTAAACAATCCATAATAAACAACATATCAAAATTTTATGTAATGACAGGATTGGTTTAATGATTTTTGCCTTTTGCCTTAGGCACCATTAAGTATTAGTGGGACATCATTCCTCATCTTACCTGAACCCACTGAATCAGAATTTCCAGGAGTGAGGCCCAGGAGAAGTCTGTTTTTTATTAAACTCTTTGGGTAATCCTTACACATGATAAATTTTATGAAGTCCTGGAAAGATGATCTCTGAAGTTTCTCTGTTGCCTTAGTTTGCATGTTCTGATGACTCAAACAGCCCTCTTGGAGGGGCCCAAGTAGCAAGGAATTGAAGGCAGCTTCTACGCAGCAGCCAGCAATTTAGGAACTGGGGCCCCCAAACAGCTTGCAAGGAACTGATTCCTGCCAACAACCACAGGAGCTGGGACAGGATCCCAGGCCTGGCTAACACCTTGATTGGAGCCTTGTGAAAAATCCTGAGCAAAAAGGCCTTTTACGTTATACTTAGACTCCTGATTCAGGAAAAAGGTAAGATAAGAAATGTGTGTTGTTTTAAGCCACTAAGTTTGTGTTCATTTGTTTCACAGCAATAGATAATTTTAATACTCTAAGTTTATATATATATATAAATTATATTTTATAATTAATATTAATTTTATTCAGTAATGTTTAAACTGGTTCAACCATGGACTCCATCAGTATTACAAGTAATAGATATGTGTTCATTTATTAAGGATATACTTCTATTGCCATGCTTATATTAAATATTGGAATATTTATTTTGTGGTAAATTATTTAGATAACAGCTTTATTGAAATATAATTCAGATGTCATAAAATTCATTCATTTAAAGTGTACAATTCAATAGTTTTTAGTATAGTCAGAGTTGTGCAAGTATCATTACAATCAATTTTAGACTATTTTTAGCAGCCCAAAAAGAGACCACATACCCCTCAGCCATCATCACCCTCCGCCTCCTTTCTCCGTGTCCTAAGCAATCTTTAAAAAATCTTAGGCTGTTTCCTAAGATCTTTCTATTCTGAACATTTAATACAAGTGGAATCATACAAATATGTGTTCTATTTTAGAAGGAATATCAACCTAATATTTTAAAGGTTCATCCATGTTGTAGCAGGTATCAGTACTTGGATCTTTTTTTAATGGCCAAATAATAGCCCATTTTAAAACAGTCCATTGTGAATAAATTTCCATTGTAAATCTTTTTTTTCTTTCTTAGGTAAAAAAATAAACAGAAATAAAAGTTTTAACACTTTCTTTACTTTTTAAAGTGTTAGACCATTGCATGAATCCCCTAGGTACACACACCTTAGTTGATGACATTCTTATGATACAGTCTTTGGTTTTATGGGGGATGTTTGTCTAAATACTAAACAATAAAATAGTTATTTTATGCCGAGGGCAAAAAGGCCCTCCACAAAATGATGGTTTGAGAAGAGGAGAACATTTATTCTAAAGCCATCTTATTAAATTTTGCCTCAAAGCAATTCACATTGTAACAGGGCTCTGATGCAGTCATTTGCATTTATATTGACAGTTGGTCAATCAGTATTATTGAGTACCCAATAGTTCATAAGGCCCTGAGAGTCAAATAATACAATTATGAAGGCCATAAGAAGCCAGACAGGTTAAACACAGTCTTCCTTGTGATGCTGGTGAACAGCCATATACTTACTGATGGATCTCACCTCCCAACTCAGACTCTTATGGTCAGAGGCATATTTAGTGCTTTCATAGGCTGTGATCTACTAAGGATCACAATTTTTTTCCTATAAGTGTTCATCATCATAGATTCTGTGTTACACTGCCCAAGGATTCATTGCTCCTAGCTCTTGGAAATTTGTTTGACATCACTCAGCTAGCAACCCCTTTGGGAATTATTTTGGCAGAAGAGAGTCACCTTTGCCTTATCCATGGTCATACTCCCTACCAGGGGCAGACTACGTCCAATGACTGGCTAATAAAAAAGGCCTGGCTCCTCACCTCAATTCAAGACAACCCTGAAAGGCCCTCCTATCTTCAGAACTTGTAACAGGGTCAGCTGACATCTTCAACAATATTGCATTACAAATCAACTTCTCCCTCTGCCCAACCTTGGTTATTTCTCTACCCACCACTGGAGTTAATCCTGAGTGCACTCCTTAATAAACTTCCTACATGCAAATATCTATCTGGGAGTCTGATTTTCAAAAATCCTAACCTGCTCCACTTATGGAACTTTCTAACTGTTCATTAGAACAGTTCATTTGAGGTTGAGCACTTGACATATAGAGAAAGAAGTACAACAAGAGAACACAAGTGATTCAGTCAGTAAGTCCTACTAATCATGGAAAATTATTGACACCCTAAACTCTTACATAAAGACTTCCCAGTGTTTTTTCAAATCTCACTTTTGATGTTACTATGATATGATTTGGCAGTGTCCCCACAAAAATCTCATCTTGAATTGTAACTCCCATAATCCCCACATGTCATGAAAGGTACCTGGTGGGAAGTAATTGAATCGTGGAGGAGGGCTTTTCCCATGCTATTCTTGTGACAGTGATTAAGTCTCATGAAATCTGATGGTTTTATAAAGGGCAGTTTCCCTGCACACACTCTCTTGCCTGCTGCCATGTAAGATGTGCCTTTGCTTCTCCTTCACCTTCCATCATGATTGTGAGGCCTCCCCAGCCATGTGGAACTTTGAGTCCATTAAATTTATTTTTCTTTATAAATTACCCAGTCTTAGGTATTTCTTCAAAGCAGTATGAACGTGGACTAATACATACTATATCCATATATTTATCCCAGATGACCCTTATGTCTTTGCAAAGACCTTATTGAGTTCAAAGTTCAAGGTGCCACAGAACATTCTAAAACAGGTTTCATCTGAGTTGAGGATCTTTTACACTCCATTTCATGGTGTTCAGGTTTTTCAAGACTCTACATTTATGACTTTGAATACTTCTTCTCCCCTTATAACTGAATGATCAAAGTGGAAGTGAGGATGATGATTGAGATAGAAGTATAAACCATTTAATTCAACTTGGATTAAGTTTGAGTTGAGATGTATTCAATTCAAGCAGGCTTTTTCTGGTTTTCAAAGAAAACTTTGTTGTTGTTGCCCTTCTCACTTGAAGAGCTAAAAGGACCCCACAGGCGGTACCACAGAAAAAATTAGGGTCTAGGTCAGAAAGAGGGTTTATCCAACCAGTGCAACATGGTATAGGTAGATTATAAAATCAGTCTTCATTATCAGGAAGGTCTAAGGCTATTGCTGAAATAGTTCCAAGCACCAGTCCAAGGGTGAGACAAGGAAGGAGATAGAACAAGGACCCAGGCAGATAGCTGAGAAAATAAGGCATTCAATAGAAGCAGACATCTGGCACAATTTAAGAAATGTGGTTCAGAAATTTGCCTGTGAATGGTACATAGGTGCTGGAGCTTCCTTTCTCAGATTGCCTGGTGCACACAGCAGGGATTAATGTATCAACTTCATGTATGCCCTGGACTGGAAAACCTCCCAATTTTTATTTCCTTTTTCTTGCACCCATTTCCTCAAAATCTTACTCATTAAAATTGACAGTGTAGACTGGCAGGTCGAGAATGTGATGGCAAAGAGAAAGTTGCAAGTTCCCTTGAATGGTTAATCCTAATCACACATGCATTTATTATTTGCACATTTTTTTTTTTTTTTGGAGGGGGGACAGAGTCTCACTCTATTGCCCAGGCTAGAGTGCAGTGGTGTGATCTCAGCTCACTGCAACCTCAGCCTCCCGGATTCAAGTGATTCTCCTGCCCCAGCCTCCCAGGTAGCTGGGATTACAGGCTCCCACCACCACACCTGGCTAATTTTTGTATTTTTAGTAGATATGGGGTTTCACCACATTGACCAGGCTGGTCTCGAACTCCTGATCTCAAGTGATCTGCCCACCTCAGCCTCCCAAAGTGGTGGGATTACAGGCGTGAGCCACCATGCCCAGCCTATTTGCGCATGTTTCCTACTGCCGGAAGAAGGAACAGTTCTCCCATATACCACATTCCAGGGCATCCTATGATCACATAAGAACACAATCCTCCTGCCACAGGTAAGCGCAATGTACCAGGAAACAGGTTGCGGGTAAACCATTGTTCTCCCTCTGCCATTATGATAGAAATATCATGACAGGCAGCTCTGCCCCCAAATCTTGCAAAATCTCAATGTGCACCTCAAGTTTGTATTGTTTTAGCCTATGATGGAACTGACAGGTTGGGGAAAATGGAAAGCAAAGTTCCATCAGTCTGGATCGCCTTTTGTAGTGTCCCCAGTGAGATCATAGCTGGAGAGGCAAGGATGTAACTCACTCAAAATTTAAGGCTTATGGCCAAAGTTGATGACTAATAATATAGAATTGTAGGTTTGGGCTTTTTGCTTTCTTAAAAAACTCTGTCAGGTTTGGAAAGGGACCTCCAATCTAATTTTGAGATACCACAGGTAATGTCCAATTGTCTTAAGGTGTGACTAAAATTTTTCTTTTGTTTGTTTTTTGTTGTTGTTTGTTTGTTTTGCTGTGTTTTGAGATGGAGTCTTGCTCTGTCACTCAGGCTGGAGTGCAGTGGCACAATCTCGGCTCACTGCAACCTCCACCTCCTGGGTTCAAGTGACTCTCCTGCCTCGCCTCCCAGGTAGCTGGGACTATAGGCATGTGCCACCACGCCAGGCTAATTTTTTTTTTTTGTATTTTTAGTAGAGATGGGGTTTCACCATGCTGGCCAGGCTGGTCTTAACTCCTGACCTCAAGTGATCTGCCCACCTCGGCCTCCCAAAGTGCTGGGATTACAGACATGAGCCACCACGCCCAGCCTAAAATTTTTCAAAATAAACTTGCTGTTACTTTTCTTCTTTAATTTAAAAATACCTCTATAGGCTACATGAGAGTTTTTGAAAAAGTAGCCATGTTTGGCATGGAAATAGGCCCCAAATATGTCAACACCTGTATTTCCTTCCAGATTTCAGTCCTATAACTTTGGACTCCCAACAGATTAAGAATCACTGGTCTAAGGTTTCTAAAGTCAGGGTAGATCCCTTTCCCAAGTGACAGCCACAAATCCAACGCTGTATCATACCCTATCTAAAGAAAAGATAAAAGTAAACTGGCTTGGCACAGTGGCTCATGCCTGTAATCTCAGCACTTTGGGAGGCCAAGGCAGGCGGATCATGCGGTTAGGAGTTGGAGACCAGCCTAACCAACATGGTGAAACCCCGTCTCTACTAAAAATACAAAAATTCGCCGGGTGTGGTGGTGCACGCCTGTAATCCCAGCTACTCAGGAAGACTGAAGCAGGAGAATTGCTTGAACCTGGGAGGCGGAGTTTGCAGTGAGCTGAGATTGTGCCACTGTGCTCCAGCCTGGATGACAGAGCAAGACTCTGTCTCAAAAAAAAAAAAACAAAAAACAAAGATAAAAGTAAACTGAAAACAAGGATAGAAATGTCTGCTAACATGCTCTGTGACCTTGATCAACAGCTTTCCCCGCTCTTGGCCTTGGTGTCCTAACTTAAATGGGGAAACTGTGATCTCTCTCAGCTCAAAATTTACATGACATTATTTACATACCAAACCTGCCCTACGCTTCCTGGAAACTTTACTACTTATGAGTGTGGCTCCTCCTTCCCTTTCAATCCCTTAATTAAATAGCTTCCCCTCTACAGGCTTTTGAAGTGGTAGCAGTTCCTCCTAACTCCTGCCAGAAACAGCTCTCCTCAACATGAGAGCTGCACCCCTCCTCCTGGCCAGGGCAGCAAGCCTTAGCCTTGGCTTCTTGTTTCTGCTTTTTTTCTGGCTAGACCGAAGTGTACTAGCCAAGGAGTTGAAGTTTGTGACTTTGGTAAGTAGACTTTTCTCATTGCTTTTTCCTTAAAACTGTGTTCCCAGCAAAGTCTGATAAGGCAAGCGTCAGGTTTCATCTTATCCTTGGATTGTTTCCCAGAGACCAGGCTCTGTTCAAACTCAGAAAGTGAATAATCAAGTTTTGCAAGTTCCTCTTAATGAAGACCTAACGTGTCCTAACAAAAATATTTTTTGGTCGCTGTTTTTTTAGGGGTTGCTTTTTATTTGCTTTTGCTGATGTTATTTATTTACTTACTTTACAACTGCCTTGAATTCAGATTCCTTTTGACAGCCACACCAGTCCAGAAGAAACCACAGCTGGCGCTGTTTATGTACCAAGAGCTGGCTTCATTCAATTTAATCATTATTTGTTTGCAAGCCAAAAAACAGTCATTTTCTGAATTAAGTAGTCCTTTCACCTTTGTTTATCAGGAAATTAGAACAACTATTTGTAAACAACCTTGAAGCATAAAAGTGAATCTAAATTTGGAATTTTAGGATGATTTTCTGATATATAGATTTAGTTGACGATTAAAATCATTGGCACATGTGACCAGTTATGAAAAAAGGTGGGGGGTGGCTGATGCATAATATCAAGAAAAGAAAATATACTGTTGACATTGTTTGAAAATAGATGGAAAGAGGGTTTGCAAAGTGAAGGGGATTCATCATGTTACCTAAGAGTCTGATTTTCTGTTTCTGTATCTTTTTTTCCTTCTGTTTCACTCTTTCTCTGCCTCTAAGCCTCTAAGCTGCTTCTTGCCTTTCCTCTCTCGTTTTCTTTCTCTTCCCTACATTTTTTTATTTGAGATAGTGAAAGTGGGCTGATAAGTAGGTAAATTTTCTTTCTGTCAAGAATACTCAAAAATTATTTTTATAATTTGAAGGAAAGTCACTGTTTCCTTAAAAATTAAAGTTCAGGCTTTTTTTTTTTTCAGCATGGGATATTCAAAGCTCTTTACTTTCTACAGAAAATATGATACCCATGTGCTTATTTGAATCATTATTCTTATAGTCCAGTAAATCCTTACTAGGTCATGAGTCAACAATGACAGAAAACCCAGTGAAACAAACTATCAATTTATTTACAAATGATTCACCAGCTGTCAGACTTCTGTGCAGAAAAAAAATATATAATACTGTGTGCCTTCTTTAGGGAAACCCATGTGAGCTAGGCTTGTACTTCTATCAGTAGTTTTCTTGCTAACATGTGCATGAGGCAAGTTTAGGGACTGTAGAAATTGTACTGCATCTGCCGTGCTTGTAATACTGTAAACCTGTGACAAGCTGGTTGAGTGGCAGTCCTCTGAGAAATCCAAGTTACTCCAAGCTCACTGTACATGATGTATTCCCTCCTCCATGTTTTACCCAAGTTAGCCCAGGCTAACTTCCTTTGACTACCAAATTGTTGTGGGTTTCCTATATTCAGGGACTGCAAGTTAATTCTTTCCTGAGGAAAGCCAAAATACAAAGCTAGCTCTCTTAGAACTAAAAAAATTAACAAATATTGCACAAAGCCAGTGTTAACTATTTTTTCCTACCATGATTTCCTTCCATTAATGGTAGATGAAGGGCCATTTAATACATCTTTCTTGGCCCTTATAAAACAACGTCCATCTAAGTACTTAAGCCAATAAACATCAGTTTCTTATTTTTATTGACTAAAGAGAATATTTGACTATAAGTGGTTAATTTATACAAATGAGATAACTCTTAGAAAATTATTAGGAGAACCAGAATTGTTTTAAAAGATGCCCATAACTAAAGTGGTAATATTAATGATAATAACCAATAGTCAATTGAGTGCTTACTGCAAGTACTTACTGCAATTGAGTGCTTACAAGGCACTGTTCTGAGTGTTCAATATGAATTGTATCACATAAGCCTGTCAACAATCCTCTAAAATAAGGTCGTTAAATAAAATATGGGATGACCATTTGAATTTGAACTTCAGATAAATAGCAAATAATTTTTTAGTCCCATGCAATATTTGGGCATCCTGTATGTTTATTTGCCAAATCTGGCAACCATTCTATAAAGTTTTGTAAAACTTATTATTCCTATTTTATAGATGAAGAAATTGAGGCACAAAAAGGTTAAGCATCTTGCCCATGGTCACACAGATGGAATGGTGGAGACAGAATTTGAACCCAGGCTCTCTGACCCCGGATGCCTTTCCCTTTATCACTAGACATGGTCTTTTCCTGCTGTGTGTATATAACCCAGCACATGGAGCTAGTCTGAGATCCCCCTGTAAGGTTTGCTGGATTAGCTTGACTCTGAATCAGCAGGTGGTTCCCTTGCTTTTCCTCTGTGATCCGAGAAAAATAAATCCTCCCCAATTCTGAAAAGCTGTTCTCAGCAGAAAGAGGAGGAAACTGTCCTTGGTTCTTGTTCTCGGACTAACTGAAGTGCCTGTGACCCATGAAATGCTAGTTTGACAAGTTGTTAACAGGTGTACATGGGGAAAAAATCAGTTTCAATAGTCAAGTTAGCTTTGGGAATAGAACTGGGTTAAACTGTGTTTAAAAGGTCTCTTTAATGCAGTAATCCTAAGTCTTTAACATGCTAATACGCACTGTGGCTTTCAAGGAAAGGATCTAGTGTTTTCCAAACTCTGTTTTCAAAATTTTGATTACAGCATTCACCTCCCTCTTTTTTTCCCCAATGTCCTGTAGAAAACACTGAGAGAACTGACATTTTTAACTTTATATGGAAAGAATCGTAAATATGGTGAATCTGGATGTCCTCATCAACCAGCTTCAAAGACTATCACCCATGCAATCTTGTTTCATCTGCATAGCCACTCATTTCCCACACACACCCACTTGAGTTTTTTAAGTTATTTCATGCACCATATCATCCAGAAATAGAAAAATGTCATTTTAAAGCATCCTGTCTCCCCTAACCCAGAGAAAACCCACAAGTTCAGCTGATCCAAGACAGAAAAATTCCATCTCATTTCACCGGTGTTAAGAAAGGAATGATGACTTACAAGGTATACACTCTTCTCATTCTTCATGGTTGACTTTCTTCATGCAGAATTCTTAATCAAGTAATATAATATTCTTGGGTTTTTTTTTTTTTTTTGAGACAGAGTCTTACTCTGTCGCCCAGGCTGGAGTGCAATGGCGTGATCTTGGCTCACTGCAACCTCCGTCTCCCAGGTTCAAGTGATTCTCCAGTCTCAGCCTCCCAAGTAGCTGGGATTACAGGCGTGTGCCACCATGCCTGGCTAGTTTTTGTATTTTTAATAGAGACTGGGTTTCACCACGTTGGCCAGGCTGGTCTTGAACTCTTGACCTCAGGTGATCCACCAGCCTTGGCCTCCCAAAGGGCTGAGATTACAGGCGTGAGCCACTGCGCCTGGCATAATATGATATTCTTGATGGAAGCAGCCTCCAAATTCTCAGCACATAATCTATATACTGGAATGGGTAACTTCCACATTATGGACATGAAGGACCTCCTAGCTACTAGGGAAGGTGGAGCTAGAGGATCACTTGAGCACAGCAGTGTGAGGCCACATTGAGCTAGGATCACACCATTGCACTCCAGCCTGGACAACAGGGAAAAACCCTGTCGCTTGGGTTGGCTTATAAAAAGAGGTACCAGAGGCTGGGTGCAGCAACTCACACCTGTAATCCCAGCACTTTGGAAAGCCGAAACAGAAGGATTGCTTGAGGCCAGGAGTGCAAGACTCCAGGCTGGTTAACATAGTAAGACCTCATCTCTGCAAAAAAGAAAAAAAAAAAAGATGGACCAGATAAAATTCCACTGAAAAGCAAAAATCAGGTCTCCTGCCTCAGTTCACAAACAACCTTACATACAATCTCTCTCCCTTGCTGTATGGCTCCTAATCACTGTATCCAAGGAACAGCCAAGCTGTCTGGAGACCACAGGTTTTTCAAAGACATTTGCCGGAAACAGCACCGTGCGCTGAGAGTTGGTACTGAGCCAGGCTCAGTTCAGTTTGCTTACATGAGCTTCTCCCCAGATTTATGCCAATGCATTTCACAAATTTTCAGGGTGCATTTGGCCAAGACATTTCAGCCAACCAGGTTATTCCTGTGGGTGCTTCTCAGTATCCTAAATGCAAAGGAATAATTAATTATTCCTCTCAGCCAAGGAAATAAAAGTAGGGAGAGATGATTAGAAATTAACAGAGGTATGTCTCGAAGGAGAGTGCTGTTTCCCATTGCTCAATAGGTAGTGCTCATTTGCCCTATATGCTGCAAATTATTGTCAGCAGGAAAGGAAGTATATATGTTAGCTAAGCTAAATGTCTGAATAATATAACAACAAAAATAATTATAACAAATATAATAATAAATCCCACATATCAAATGCATCCGGTGTGCTCGGTATTATACTGATGGCTTTACATATATTACACATTTAATTTTCATGATGCTCCTGGATGAGAAATAATGCTTTTGTGTTTTACACGAAAGGAAATTGAGGAAAGGAAAGGGAAATTGAGGCATGCAGAATGTTAAGTTAAATCATTTTCCCAAGGTCACCCAGCAGGACCTTGACAAAGCAGGAGTTTGAACCCAGGTCTAACCAACTGAAAACCCAGACCTTTTCTGATATATCACACATCTTCTACACAACATAATACACAGTTTTTACAGCTTCCCTTATTTGCAGGCCTCTGTGTTCGTCCCAGTCTCTGGATCAAAGTCTTATTAGACTTGTCCTGATTGCTTCACGGGGAGTACAGAACATATTCTCATGCTGATTCCTTTCAAGGTCAGCCAGCTTTCCTTCTAACCTCTGAAATGACACTCATTTACATTACTCAATTATTTCTGCCCAAACTATTTTATTTTTAATTTTCTTTACCAATGGATTTATTTCTTAGGTCCTAAAAGAAGAAAATAAAATAGACTTCTACTCATAGTTATCTTTGTGCATCACGAGATTTTCACAACTTAGAGTATACCCTAATAAAATAATAAGAAGAATTTAATGTCAGGAGATAAGGTTCCTTTTAGGACTTCCAGAATCACCCCAAAGTTTTATGATGTGTCTCCAATTCCAAACCTGAAAGGAGAACATGATGGTTTATGAGACTTCAATCCAGTCTGGAAGCAGACTCACTGTTCTAGAAGCAAAGGCACAAATGAATAGGATAGAGACTGCTACAATTTGAATGTTTGTCCCCTCCAAAACTCATGTTGAAACTTAATCCCAATGTAACAGCCTTAAGAGGTGGGGCCTTTAAGAGGTGATTGGGCCATGGGGGCTCTACTCTCCTGATGGATTAATGGATTAACAGATTAATGGATTAATAGGTTATCACAGAAGTGGGTGAGTTATCATGTCAGTGAGTCTATCATAAAAACCATTTTGGCTCTCAGTGTGCCCCTTCTTGTCCTGTCATGCCTTCTGCCATGTTATGACACAGCACAAGGCCCTCACCAGAAGCTGACTAGATGCAGCTGCCTGATCTTGGACTTCCTAACCTCTAGAATTGTGAGCAAAATAAACCTCTTTCCTTTATAAATTTCCCAGTCTCAGGTATTCTGTTAAAGCAACAGAAAATGGGCTAAGACAGAGGGGAAAGACAAGAAGATGAAAGAAAGGAAAAAAAAAAAGCACACATAGCACACCTTGCTGATAAATAAGGATGATGATCAAAAACCCTCATGAAATGAGAAGATTGGAAAGAAATCCATAATGTACCTGGAAGTACTAGACCCAATCCGAGATTCACCTGTTCATCAGAACAGGCCTTTTTTGCATATTACTATGTTCCAGGCACTGTTTTGGGGTTATAGCAGTGCTTGTGACAGCAAGGCTTCTGCTTTCAAGGAGTTTCTAGGGACAGGGAGGGAGCCAGATTTTTTTTAATTTTAGTAAAAACAAAAAATAAGAAAACATCAGGAATATTTATTTGAAATAAAACAGTGAGATAAGATAGAGATTGAGCAAGAATTATAATGATGGTCAAGGGATGTCTCTCTGTAAAGGTCAAATTTTCAGGACAGACCTCAAATTGATGAGTGGTGTGTATGCTGAGAGAAGACGCAGACTTGAGACATTCAAAGCAGACAGGACATCAAGAGCAAAGGCCCTGAGGCTTCAGCAAATTTAGTATATTGGATGTAACAGCAGGAGGGCCCATGTGGGTAAGCTGAGGACATCAAGGTGAGAATATCAAGGTGGGTAGGGACCAGATCAGGTAAGATCTTGTGAGCCCTTGTAAGGACCTTTAATTTATGCAAAGAGCAATAGAACATGATATAATATCTAAGAGTGATGAGGATATAAAAGAAACAAGACTAGCCACATACAAGTTGATAATTGTTGGAGACAGTGGTGGGCTCATGATAAAAATCTCCACTTTTAGGCTGGGCACAGTGGCTCACGCCTGTAATCCCAACACTTTGGGAGGCCAAGGCGAGTGGATCACCTGAGGTCGGGAGTTCGAGACCAGCCTGGCCAACATGGCGAAACCCCGTCTCTACTAAAAATACAAAAATTAGCCAGGCGTGGTGGCAGGTGCTTGTAATCCCAGCTACTTGGGAGGGTGAGGCAGGAAAATCACTTGAACCTGGGAGGCAGAGGTTGCAGTGAGCCAAGATCATGCCATTGCACTCCAGCCTGGGCAACAAGAGCAGGACTCCATCTCAAAAAAAAAAAAAAAAAAACTCCACTTTTGTATATCTTTACATTTTCCACTGGATATAGCCTCGACTGTACTCACCAGGTTCTCCACACCCTAAGCCACATGCCAGATTTGTTTAGCAGATTCAGTGGAGCAGGTTCATTCATGGGGGCACCAAACCAAAAGTCCTTTTAAAAACAGTTACCTATGATTTAAAAGTGTGAAGTGATTGTAGTATGATGGGGAAACAGTGGGCCAACTATCATGAGAATTAGGAGATCTGGACAGCTACATGATCTCTTTGATCATATAGTTTTCTTACTTGCTCAGTGCAGCAGTAGTGCCAACCTGTCCTCAGACGGGGATGTAATAATTAAAAGAGGTAGCAGGGGAAAATTCTACAAACCATGGAGGGTTGTGCAAATGTAAGGAATTATTATTTTTTTTTATTTTTATTTATTTATTTTGAGACGGAGTCTCACTCTGTCACCAGGCTGAAGTGCAGTGGCACGATCTCGGCTTACTGCAACCTCTGCCTCCCAGGTTCAAGTGATTCTCCTGCCTCAGTCTCCCGAGTAGCTGGGACTACAGGCATGCGCCACCACACCCAGCTAATTTTTGTATTTTTAGTAGAGATGGGGTTTCACCATGTTGGCCAGGATAGTCTTGATCTCCTGACCTCATGATCCGCCTGCCTCAGCCTCCCAAAGTGCTGGGATTATAGGCATGAGCCACTGTGCCTGGCCAGGAATTGTTATTATCTTGGATGTCTTTCTATTACAATTACCACTACTACTGCAAAAATCCTAATTGCTAATAAAGTATTTTTAGGTTTTTAAAGGATTTCATAGAGTATGATTGCTGGACTGAGCACAGAGGTAATAATTGGTAGAGCAGCAGTTAAGAAGATTGCTCTACCACAGAATTAAAAGAATGTCTTCGCATAGTCCAAGAACTCCAGCTGAATTTTGAAACTCCAAAAGCTCAAGGAACACCAGCTTCACATTTGCCTGCGGGAGGGGTGTGTGCACACATTTTGATTTCCAGCCCTGGAAGTGGAGAATGGTTTATTAAGTGTTTCTCCAGGACATCCCTTCCAAAGGGTTGACAGCATGTTTGAGCAACTACCTTGGAAACACTTAAAACCTACTGAAATGTAGGGGAGTACAATTATTTCTGAACTATGGGCCAGAGTGAGAAAGTTTGCCCAAGTCTCATGATTATGTTCCAGTTCTCTGCTCTTCAAAACACTCTGCTAAGGTGACCACACTTGTTTTTCTCTCTCAGGCCATTCTGTCATTTAGTTGCATAACCTCAGTTCTATTCTTTCAATAATATACATAGTTCACAGTGCCTTCGGGGTAGTTTCCGTATCAAGGTTTTGGTTTCTTCTGATACAAAACACACACACACACACACACACACCCCTTCCAATCCTAGAGGAAAAGAGTATACTAAGTAGAGTTAATAAAGAAGCGTTAGATCCCAGACCATTCAGATTTAGCTGGTGGGACTGTGAGGAGTGTGATCATACAGAAATGAACCTCTCACAGGTGGTTAAGTATGCTGGAGTTGGAGGCACAGCCTGTGTTTGAATATCAGCTCTACCACTTCTTACATGCTGTGTGAGTTTAGACAGGTCACTTAATTAAGCTAAACTTCCTCATTTGTGAAATGGAAATAATAATAGTAACTGCTTTGTGGAACTGATGAGAAGATTACATCTATGAGAAGCACTTAGCACAGTTTCCAGGACAAAGTGAGTGTTCAAAAAATGTTAAGGAGTTACCGTTGTGGTTATAGGTTGGTGGGAAGCAATGTAAATTATTTTATTACAATGTCTCTCACCTGACTTCTCTTTGGCTAACTCAGTGGCTCTCAACTTGGGGTGATTTTCTGCCCCTATGGCAGAAAATGTGCCTTTTTCAGTTGTCACAGCTGGGGAATGTTACTGGCATCCGGTGGGTAAAGGCTAGGGATGCTGCTAGACATTCTACAATGCACAGGACAACCCCCACAACAAAGAATTATCTAGCCCAAAATGTCAACAATGCTGAGGTTGAGAAGCCCTAGAAACTAAAACAGTGTGGGGTTTGTAATTTATTGAAACCATGTAACAACTTTAGTTATTCAAAGACACATTTACCTGGGATATAAAAACTCTAAAATGTACTTCAATTGTGGAAAGAGGCATCAATGATTAACCATAATCATTTCTGATCATGACCAAGTCACCCCTGAGACTAGTAACTGCAGGTGCTCACAAAAAAATATGCAGCTGTCCTTCCTGCCTTCAGGGGATCATTCATGAAAGTAATTTCTCACCTGACCAAAATGATCGCTTAACATTTATTGCATCATTGCCCCTGTTTCTGTAGACTACTCTACCGAAGTTTTAATTTGTCACTAGTTTAAAGGGCCAAAAGATCTGTTTTCTTCAGATATTAGAGACACAAACCAAGCATCTCCCACTTTCTTGGAATTCCTTCTCAAAAATGACTAAAGTCTGAGACTGTTTTCTTATTTAATGTCTATTGAATTCTGTTTTACAGAATTTCAAAAGAGCAGGTTCTTAGCTTACTTTTCAATGGAACATTTTAGCCAGGTAGTATAAGTACAGGTGCGGGTAACCTCAGATAAATCAAGGTGTTATGCAGCTGTCTCTATATTAAAAATATTTGCTGACATCAGTGTAGACTTCATCTTGTAGTTCTTCAGTGTTTTCTTTCCTTATCTTTTGCTCATAAGATGGCTTTGTGTTTGGTTTGATATTATACTGAGAAAGCATATTAGAATCAAAGCACCAAGATTTCAAAAGTCCAGACTACTCTTCCCAAAGAGAAATGTGCAATCACAATAGCATGACATGGGTACAAATATAGAAGTATGTTATTAAAGTATTGAGAATTAGCTTTCCTAACCTCCCCACCTGCAATCTTTTACTCCTAATCTCCAAAAAATGAACAAATCATTGGCTCAAAATGGTCACAAATTGTATGTGGTGTTAAAAATCTATTATTTTTATTGTATATAAAATGTTGCCAGGTGTGGTGGCTCATGCCTGTAATCCCAGCACTTTGGGAGGCCAAGGCAGGTGGATCACTAGGTCAGGAGTTCAAGACCAGCCTGGCCAACATGGTGAAACCCCATCTCTACTAAAAATACAAAGATTAGCTGGGTGTGGTGGCGTGTGCCTGTAATCCCAGCTTCTCGGGAGGCTGAGGCATGAGAATCACTTGAACCTGGGAGGCAGAGGCTACAGCGAGCCAAGATGGTGCCATTGCACTCCAGCCTAGATGACAGAGCAAGACTCAGTCTCGAAAAAAAAAAAAAAGTTATACTAGTTGGGCACGGTGGCTCACACCTGTAATCCCAGCACTTTGGAAGGCCGAGGCAAGTGGACCACCTGAGGTCAGGAGTTCAAGACCAGCCTGGCCAACATGGTGAAACTCCATCTCTACTAAAAATAAAAAAATTAGCTGGGCGTGGTGGCAAGCGCCTGTAGTCCCAGCTACTCAGGCGGCTGAGGCAGGAGAATTGCTTGAACCTGGGATTCGCCACTGCACTCCAGCCTGGGCAACAGAGCAAGACACTGTTTCAAAAAAAAAAAAGTTATACCACTATTACTGTAATCATTAAGGGAAGAATACTTCTCATCAGAGTTTGTCTGCAGTAAAGTACTCTTGTCAGCTTTGTGTTCCTTTCTGTCCTATCTTATGTACAAACCGATCTCCATTATGTGTCACCTGCCTTCTAATGGCTGATCATCTTGATTCTTACATTACCTGAAACACAGTGAAAGTGTTAGTGAACTTAGAATAGTGGTTCTTAACTAGAGATTTACCCAGGGAGATTTTTTAAATCCTGATGTCCTGGCCACATCCCAGACTAATTAAATAAAAATCACTAAGGTTGAAAGCCAGTCCTCAGAATCTTTTAAAACTCCTTACGTGATTACAATGGGAAGCCAAAGTTAAAACCAATGAGTTAGAAAAAAAAAAACTATTATAATGAGCAGAAGCAAAACACCCAAGTGACGTTTGTAACATCACTCTCTCACATCTACTTTCAGGTGTTTCGGCATGGAGACCGAAGTCCCATTGACACCTTTCCCACTGACCCCATAAAGGAATCCTCATGGCCACAAGGATTTGGCCAACTCACCCAGGTTGGTTGGACTTTTAGCTAAAGATTGTTGATGAAGCTGGGTGTGGTGGCTCACGCCTGTAATCCCAGCACTTTGGGAGGCCGAGGCAGGCGGATCAACTGAGGTCAGGAGTTCGAGACCAGCCTGGCCAACGTGGTGAAACCCTCTCTCTACTAAAAATACAAAAATTAGCCAGGATTGGTGGTGGGCACCTGTAATCCCAGCTACTCGGGAGTCTGAGGTAGGAGAATCGCTTGAACCTGGGAAGTGGAGGTTGCAGTGAGCCAAGATCGCACCATTGCACTCCAGCCTGGGCAACAAGAGTAAAACTCTATCTCAAAAAAAAAAAAAAAAAAAAAAAGATTCTTGATGAGTCTCAAGGGGAAATGTATATAGAATTGTCTGTTTTGATATTTTTTGCCCTTCTGGCTTTATTTAAATGTAAGAGATGTACATGAACAAAGACTATATGAGCTTAGAAATGCTGAAGAGAGCCAAGTGGTAATCATAAGCCAGGATTTGAATTTCTTAGGCTTCACATGAGAAAGTGAAAAATAGTCTTGTAATCAATAAGCTGAATCAACAGCATTGGGAAACATGATTCCCCAAAGTGCTGATATCAGAATATGATTTCTTGTCAGCTGGATATATTGGGATTTGACCTTCCTTATAAGTGGTCAGTTAAACACAGGGAGCCCTACTTTCTGAAGAGCATCTAAGGAGAAGGTGAACTGGGGAGCAAAGCCATCTTTAGTCACTGTTCCAAAGCCCTATTCCCTTTGCTTGTAAGATTGGATGACTCTTCTGTTTGGAGCCACAAGGCCAGGTGAATTGCTTCTGTCCTGATCTGTTTAAATATATTAATTAAGAAAATGTCACAGAATCTTTAGAGTAGAATGTCTCAAAAACTAATGGGTCTTAATCCTGCCAAAACATTGGGATTATCTGGAGAGGTTTAAAAAATATATTGATGTCTGCCTGGGAGGTTCTTATTTAATTGGTCTAGTATGTGTCCTGGGCATTGGGATTTTTAGAAGCTCCTTGGTGATCAGTTCACTCTAATGTGTAGCCGAGGCTGAGAATTTCTGCCCTGACTATATTTCATAGAGGAGAAAACTCAGGCAGGCTATTTGAGACCAGCATCTTCTGTCTCCCAGGTCAAAGCTCTTCTCACCATAGCCTACCCATCTTCTGTCCCTTTGAATGAAAGAGAGGCTACAAAAATTCAGATTTGCTTGTTAATACCTATGGCTCTGTATAGACTCCTGTTCTGTTGCTATGTTTTCCCATTAAGACCAAAAGATTCTTCTAGGCTGCAGGATCTGAGTTCTTCTTCTGAAGAACCTTGATTACCCATCAGATTCTATTAGGGCAGTATTTCTCAAGCTTCCATGTGCAAATGAATCACTTGGGAATCTTGTCAAAATGTAGATTCTAATTCAGCAGGTCTGATGTGGGACCTGCGATTCTGCATGTCTAACATACTCCCAAGGATGACAATGGCACTGGTACATGGACCACATTTGAAGTGACAAGGTTCTAGGGCTCAGATTCCTACCCTTGTCTAGGTACTTTTTTTTTTTTTTTTTTTTTTGAGATGGAGTCTCACTCTGTCCCCGCAGGCTGGAGTGCAGTGGCTCGATCTCAGCTCACTGCAGCCTCTGCCTCCCAGATTCAAGCAATTCTCGTGCCTCAGCCTCCCAAGTAGCTGGAACTACAGGAGAGCACCACCACGCCTGGCTAATTTTTTATATTTTTAGTAGAGATGGGGTTTCGCCATGTTGCCAAGGCTGGTCTCAAACTCCTGAGCTCAGGCAATCCACCCGCCTTGGCCTCCCAAAGTGCTAGAATTTCAGGCCTGAGCCACCACACCCAGCCTTGTCTAGGTACTTTAAATCTACATAATCATAAGATGATGGCTGTCTAGATCAGTGTCTAGGTACTTTTAATCTGCCTTGTCTAGGTATTTTTAATCTGCATAATCATAAGATGATGGCTGTCTAGATCAGTGGTTTTTAAAGTGTGGTCCCTGGACCAGCAGCATCACCATCACGTGGGAACTTCTCAGTAATGTAAATTCTTCACGCAATACCCAGTGAACCATAAACTTTGGAATTAAAGCCCAGAAGTCTGTGTTTTATTGAGTCCTCCAGGTGATTCTGTGCATGCTAAAGTGTGAAAATCACTGCTTCATACAGACGACTATTTAAAAAGTCAGCTGTAAGAACACAATTAGACCTAAAGTACCTGCTTCTCCGCTACTCAGGTCACGGTATATTATTCCTTTCCCACCTTGTCCCTATCGTAGATGGGAAGTGATTATAGTGGTGGTCAAGCAAATGACAAGTGTGACAAGCAAATGACAAGTGGGACCAAGCAGCAGCCACCGTAACAACCTCCTCTCTGGCTCCCAAAGCTCTAGTAAGGCTCTGGATTAAAGACAAACTTGAATGCTGCATTTCCAAAGCATGGTGCTCTACTACATGCATCTGAATCACTTGGGAGACTTGTTAAAATGCAGATGTCAGGGCCCCACTCAGGAACTAATGAGCTGGAATCTCTGATGGAGATGCTGAGGAATCTGCATTTCAACATGCACCGCTGGATAATTTTGTTTCTGATGCACGGTAATGGTTGTGGACCACTGAGCTAATGCAGTGCATCTCAGTGATTACTGTCCATCAGAAGCTTGTTAAAAAATATTCTTGAGCACCACCCCCAAAGGTTCTGGTTCAGTAGGTCAAGGGTGGGGCCCAAGAATTTGATTTCTATAATGCTTTTAAGTGAAGCCAATACAGACCACACTTAGAGTAACATGTTCTAATTTTTTTATGAACCAGGAATTAATAAACTGGGCAGATAGTAAAGCATTGCCCACAGAGGTTGAAAGAGACTTTCAGATTCATCGAGTCTAATCTCATCAGATGGTTGAGCTTCTTCCACAAAATCCCCACCAAGTGGGTCTCTTTGAATGCTCTACCAACAAGGATCCCACTACATCAGAGATGAACCATTTACTTAAATCAGATCAATCACCCAACTATCAACTAAGCACTTACTATGTGCAAGTCTCTATGTTAAGTGCTAATGAAGATAAATGAGTTTTCTCAGGGAGTCAGGGAACTGTAACTAAAGAGTACAGCTCTTTTGTTTTCACTTAAATATGTGTCATTATTGTGGAACTATTAAACCACACCATTGTTCATTCTACACACATAATGAAAAAAAAAATCAACAAATTTTTATGATAGTGTGATTCATAGAACTTACTTTCATTAATTTTTGCTTTTATTTTTTTCCCATAGCTGGGCATGGAGCAGCATTATGAACTTGGAGAGTATATAAGAAAGAGATATAGAAAATTCTTGAATGAGTCCTATAAACATGAACAGGCAAGTTGGGGAGCCAAGAGTGGGAACTTTGATCTTTGAAATAATTAAAATAATTCTGCATATATAAAAGTGCTTTGCCTGTTTTCCAAGGAACTTATACAAGTCAGAGGTCTTGTTTACAAATATATTCCTCTTTATGCAAATTTTTGTTCCAAAAAGTTTGTGAATATGAGTAATTTCAAGATTTTATGAACACCTGAATAAATACTTTGGCTTGACAAGTAGCCACTGCTTAATTGATCTCATTTGTCAATTCAACTATTGGCCAACCAGGTTGCTTTGTACCATGATCATAATATTGCTCATTCCTTAACAAGTATTATGATTCTGATGTTAGCACAATGTCTGTAATATTTCACTGTGGGTGTCCTTTCCTTTCTCTAATACCTTGGCAGCTCTGTAGAAAAAAACCTCATGCTCCCTTTACGTTCGCTTCTGCTTTGATTTTCCTACTCTAGGTTTATATTCGAAGCACAGACGTTGACCGGACTTTGATGAGTGCTATGACAAACCTGGCAGCCCTGTTTCCCCCAGAAGGTGTCAGCATCTGGAATCCTATCCTACTCTGGCAGCCCATCCCGGTGCACACAGTTCCTCTTTCTGAAGATCAGGTCAGTATACTGGGAAAACCAGGAGATTTCAGATGGACCTAGAATGAGGAAGGCAGGCTACTCAACAGTTGTGGATTTGGGAGTCTGGACACTCCTTGAGCTGTGCAGTTTTAATTCTTTCTTAAATAAAGATACAAAGGACAATTTAGGACATGGAAAACCCTAGCTAAGAGAGAGTAGGAACCAAATTTCTCTTTGGATCTGTATGATCCACTTTGTTTTGCCACTCTTGCAACTCTTGGCAATTTGCCCCCTCATCGTCATACACAGAGAGAGAGAGAGAGGGAGAGGGAGATAGACAAGTCCCCCAGTGTTCTGCCTTAATTCCCAGGCTTTTGGTGCCCCAAACAGGTTTCTCCACTCTCCAGATTATCCAAAGATATTTATACCACCAAACACTCCTCCACTCATGAAAATCCACATTCCTAGGTAGAGAAAAAAAGATTTGAGTGCATAATCATTGCCTAACATTTTATGTGAATCATTGTGTTACCTTTCATAACAACTCTGAATGGACAATATTCTTGCTCTCCTTTTATAGTGAGGGAAATAAGTGCTTGGAGAGGTTAAATAACAAACAAATTGGTCCAAAGCAACACTGCTGGCAAGCATCACTCTGGGATTAAAACTAGGCCTATTTCATTCCAGAGCAATTTTCTTCCCTATAAAATCATGATTCTCAGACTTAGCTGCATATTAGGATCACGTGGTTTTTTAAAAAAAATCCTGATGCCCAGGGCACTCTCCGTAAGAAATCGGAATGTCTGAGGGTGGACCCAGGCATCAGTGTTTGAAAAATAATCTCCCTCGATGATTCCAGTGGGGAGGCAAGTTTGAGAACCAGTACTATAAACTAAGCTGCCTGAATGGGGCTGTTTGAGAGAAACTCTCAAACGTGTTTACACAGGTTGGGACCGACCAAGCTTTCTTTAATCTTTTCAGAGGAATGGGTATTTTTAAAGTAGCAATAGATAAATCTAACTAATCTTCCAGGTGTGAAACTTAAGGCTATATGAAAGAAATAGTTTGGGACAAAGAATCCCTTCCTAATTTCCCTGCAGTCCCATCATAGGCATGACCATCGCATCTCTTTATGGCTGAAGCTTAGCCTGACTGCTGGACCCAGACTTTTGCCCAGTGACCTCTGGGGTAGGTTACTATCCTCTTTGTCCTGCCAGTACCCCTAGAAATTTGACTTAATTGCTGCATCTAGGGACTTAGGGATTTTTCCCAAATGCTGTGTAGAAAGTCACTGGAGTTAAATCTACTCCAACCATTTTTCTGCTGTTTCTTGAAAAGACAGGATGATTCATTTACATCTCTTTTCCTTCACAGAATCATGAGGGAAGTATTGTGATTACCAGTGTTAAGCATTTGTGAATATTTTATTCCAAAAAGAAAAAAAATCACTTTACCAGCCTTTTCTGCAGAGATAAAGACTGGAGGTCAGGTGCGGTGGCTCATGCCTGTAATCCCAGCACTTTGGAAGGCTGAGGCGGGCAGATCACCTGAGGTCAGGAGTTCGAGACCAGCCTGGCTAACATGGTGAAACCCCATTTCTACTAAAAATACAAATATTAGCTGGGCATGGTGGTGCACGCCTGTAATCCCAGCTACTCAGGAGGCTGAGGCAGGAGAATCACTTAAACCTGGGAGGTGGAGGTTGCAGTGAGCCAAGATCGCACCGTTGCACTCCAGCTTGGGCAACAAGAGCGAAATTCCGTCTCAAAAATAAATAAAAAACAAAACAAAACAAAGACTGGATAGCAGCACCAAAATTTAGCAAAATGTAGACCACAACAGCTATTTAACAATTAATCCTGAATGATAGTAATTAAGTTACACAGAAAGAGAATGCAGGTGCTAGTAGAAGAGGAGGAAAGAAACAGGGAGAGTGAGGGAGAGAAAGAGAGAAGCAAGGAACATTATCTACCTATGGCTTCCATCTATCTGATTCACTAAGGTCAAAAAAATTCTCTCATATCAACTAAGAAATCTAATGAAACCAATCAACACTAGCTTATTCCTAGCATTTAGCTGTGCTGAATGCTGTAGAGAAATAGGAGGCGAAGTTTTTCTAATTTATAGTTTGATGAAAGCAAATTAGCATGTGTGAAATGTGTAGAAGACATTATAAGATGGCGGGCAATAATTTCAAGTACAAGCCACATATGCTGGGTGAAGTCAGAGAATGAGACTTACGTGCAGTTACCACAGGGCCGTCGTTCAGGTCTTCATAAAGAGAGTGAGAACTTGAACCAGACCTCAGAGGAGAGGGAGGAAGGAGAGGAAGGCAGCACAAAAACACGACCATGAGTGAATATGTAGAATGCCAGTTCTTCTGTGCCCAGAGTTCATATTTAGAAAGAGAATGAAAATAAAATTGATTATATTGGACACAGATTAGATAATCCAAATTTAATAGCCAGGAGGAATCTTGAGTTGAAAGAAAGGCAGTGTGATGTTAGAAGGAGGGCTGAATTTGAAGTTGGAAAACCTACATCCAACTACCACTTCAGATATATGACCTTGAGTAACCTCCGTAAACCTCAGTTTCCTTTCTGTAACATGGGAAAATAGCACCCACCTAACTTCTTCTTAGGGATTTGTGAAAGTCAAGTTAGTTAAAAAATGGAAAACACCATAAACTGCAAAATTCTGGACAGATGTCTCGGTGATTATTCTGTTTATTTTCAGCCTGACTCAATTTGTGGATGAAAAAACTAACATCCAGAAAGTAATTAATTAAATTCCAGGCCTTTTAATGAACAGTCTTCTGCTTTTTCTCTTAACAATATAATTTCTCCTATGGAACAATTTGAAAGCCATGCATGCAAATTTAGACTAAAAGCAATGGACACAAAAGAAACCTGTATACATTCTTCGGTATTACGCACATGTGATGAGTGGTGCTTTTGGGCACTTGCCTGACAGTAGCTTGGACAGAAAAGACACTGGAGCCTCAGAGAATAACTATTGAAGCAATTCTGGAATTAAGAAATAAGGCCTGAAATGAGATGGTAAAAGATGTTAGAGGAAGAGAAGCAAGGTAAGACAAGGTGACACACAGAATCAGAAATGATGAACAGGAAGCAACTTTTAAAATAAATGTTTTCTGAGTAGCTACTAATATGCCAAGCCCTGTGCTGGGCATTGACATTGCAGCAGTGAACAAAACAGACACGATCCTGGCTCTCGTCAAGTTTATATTTTATAGGAAATAGATGATAAAGAAGTAAAATAAAATAATGTCAGATGGCGATGAGTTCCTGGAAAGAAATGAAACAGGTTAATATGATAGAGACTGGCCCAGGATGGCTAGAAGAGGGGTAGAAGTCAATGGGGGAGTGTTCAAGGCAGGAAACAGTTTTAGGCAGAGCTCCTAAGCCAGTGCCTTCCGGGACAGCAAGAAGGCCCAAAGTGTTGCTGGAGAGGAGTGACAAGGGACAGTAATAGGAAAAGAGGGCAGTGCAGTTCCTAGAGGCCAACTCATGCAAACTCTTGATGTAGTCTGTGTGGTGGTGAGTTTTGATTTTATTTTAGGTAAAATGGAAAGCCAATGAAGGTCATGAACCACAAAATGACATGATCTGATCGATACTTTAAAAAGATTCATGCTTAAAAAATAATAATAGGCCGGGCGCGGTGGCTCACGCCTGTAATCCCAGCACTTTGGGAGGCCAAGGCAGGTGGATCACGAGGTCAGGAGATCGAGACCATCCTGGCTAACACAGTGAAACCCCGTCTCTACTAAAAGTACAAAAAATTAGCCAGGCGTGGTGGCAGGCGCCTGTAGTCCCAGCTACTCAGGAGAGTGAGGAAGGAGAATGGCGTGAACCTGGGAAGCAGAGCTTGCAATGAGCCGAGATCGCGCCACTGCACTCCAGCCTGGGTGACAGAGCAAGACTCTGTCTCAAAACATAATAATAATAATAAAAGGTATTAGTGTAACTGCTGTGTGGAGAATGAATTAGGATGGCTGAAAGAGTGAACACTGATTTACCAAATAGGAAGTTCTCACAGTAGTTGAAACACAAGTTATGGTGGCTAGGACTGGGAGGGGACTATGAAGATAAAAAAAAGCGGTCTATTTTGAAATAGAAGGGGATATGTTTTGAAAATAGAGAAACAAAAGTGACTATGAAGTAGGTTGATAAATTCTGCCACTAGCAAAAGCAGAGAAAATTACAAAGAGGGAATGGTTAAAAATGAAGTTGAATTCATTTTAATATGATAGAGGCTGGGGAAGGATGGCTAGAAGAGAAGTAGAAGTCAGTTGGGGAGTGTTCAAGGCAGGGAACAGTTTTATGCAGAGATCCTAAGCCTATGCCTTCAGGGACAGCAAGAAGGCCCTTGTAACATGTACAAGTTTAGCCTTGTACATGTTAAATTTGAGGGAAAAAAAATGCAAATTAGTTATTTCTACCAAGGGCTAGAAATACAGGACTAGTCACAGATGGAAAGTAAGGGCAACAAAATAAACTTGAGAGCCACAAACCTGTGGGTTACAGTTAAAATTATAAAACACTGTCAAAATTTAATTAATTTTAGGAAGTTCACTTTGTCCTCACAACAGGTTTTTGAAGTATATTTTTCTAAGTATTTAATACGTACTCTTAACAGTCTGCAAATTTGCAAAACCTGAAGTTAATGAGTGGTTAATTGACTTAAGATTTTTTCCAGAATCAAATTCCTTTCTCCATACATACATGCGTTGGGGTGTGTGTGTGTGTGTGTGTGTGTGTGTGTGTGTGTACAGGTGTGCACCTACTGCAAGAAATGAAAGTGATTGGGAAGGAAGCAAGATAACAGTTATTCACGTGGAAGATCGAGAAGTGTAAATATTTACCACCAACAGCTCAGTTATATTATGGCAAGTTTATGAATGAAAAAAAAGGATTTTCAATTCTGAATACATATCCTACTATTTTAAGACCTATAGATCATTTGATTCTTTCTCCCCAATTTTGGAATTTCCACTCAGCTCAAAACACATTTGAATCTTTTATTAAGGTTGCTTTGAACCTAATGAGGCTTAAAATATTGCTGCAGCATATTTAGCAAAGTTTTTCTGACTCATAACAGTTTTATGATTTTTCTCTTATCCTCAGTTGCTATACCTGCCTTTCAGGAACTGCCCTCGTTTTCAAGAACTTGAGAGTGAGACTTTGAAATCAGAGGAATTCCAGAAGAGGCTGCACCCTTATAAGGTTAAAAGCTAGTTTTGTTTAGTGGTACTTGTTAGTTTGTTAGTGGTACTTGAGTGTGAGGGCCAAGACACAAGATGAAGCTTTGGCTTCTTAAAAAGATGGGACGAATGCATCTGTCAGTGGCTGGTTACAGCAATGGGTTAGAATATTTAATGAGGGAGGTCATCACTCCTGCTTCCCTTCCCCATACAGGGGTCACAAGCCAATAGACAAGCCAGTCCTTTTGAATCCTTTACTCATGGCCTTGAGAGGAACCAGGTGTGAGTAAATGGCTGGATGAGAATAAATATAAGTCTAAAATCACCTGCCTTATTCAGGCTAAGGGGCTGGGATTATTGTCTTCATATACAAAGGATAGTCTTTTTTTTTTGTTTCTATTTTGCAAAGTACCCATTTTCAGCACAATACAAAAGGTAGATATAATGCTGTGTACTTTTTAAAATAATCTTTTGAATATTATACATTCATACTGTCCAAAAATTAGAAAATATAAAAAGGAATACAGTGGAAGCCTCCATGACCCCACAGGTAACCACTAGCATTATTTTCTAGTAGTCTTTTATGTGTTTATTTTATGCAGTCTTTTATGTATTTTATGTAGTATTTTATGCAGTCTTCCAATTTCCTTATGCATATACAAACATAAAAATATATTCTGATAGTTTCTTCTTTTGTTACACGAAAATGGTATACTATTCATAGGGTTGGGCACCTTGGTTTTGTTTTGTTTTTTTTTTTCCATTTAAGAAAATATATTGGAAATATTTCTATATCTGTATGTAAAGAGTTTCCTCCTTTTCTTTCTTTTCCTTTTTTTTAACAAATGTGTAATATTTATATTTATGCCATAATTTATTTAACCAGCCCCTATTGATAGGAATATGGGTCATTTTTCAATCTTTCATTTTTACAAACAGCATGTATGAATAACTTGTGCATCTAAATAGTTTCACAAGAATACCTGTGGGATAATATCCTAGAAGTAGACATTCTGGGTTAATCTGAAATATTATTAATTTACCCTCCAAAGAGGTTTTACTACTTTCTACTTCTATCAGCACTGCATGCAAATGCCCATTTCTCCACAACTTTGCCAACAGTATGTGGACCACTCTGGGGATATTTGCCAATCTGGTAAGTGGAAAATAATATCACTAGAAGCATCCATCTCCTCTAAAATTAGGAATAAGACAAGGAAGCTCACTATTATAACTACTGTACAACATCGTGCTATAGTACTTTTCTTCTTGTGATGAGTGAGTTTGGGTATCTTCATCTAGTTAAATACCATTTTTTGGTTTGTTTTTTGATATTGTATTTCTTTTTTAACTTTTATTTTAAGTTCAGGGGTACAAATGCAGGTTTGTTATATAGGTAAACATGTGTCATGGGGGTTTGTTGTACAGATTATTTCATCACCCAGGTATAAAGCCTAGTACTCATTGGTTATTTTTCCTGACCCTTTGCCTCCTCCCACCCTTCACCTTCCAAGAGGCCCCAGTGTGTCTTCTTCCCCTCTATGTGTCCGTGTATTCTCATCAGTTAAATGCCATTTATATTTCCTTTTATATCAATATCCCTTGACTATTTTTCTTTTGGATGATTGATTTTCCTTTTGCTATAAGTTTTTAGAAGCTTTTTTCTATGTATTTTAACATTTCTGTCTGTGATATTTTGTGTGTGAAAAAAAACACACTCAATGTGTTTTTTCCTATTTTTCTCACTTGAAAACACCAATCAACACAGACAGAAGACTTCTGTGACCAAATATGGGGGATCTCTCTGCAAGAAAAGGCAGCCCGTTCTGCAGTAGACACCAGCTGGGTGGCCTCCAATTCAGTTTTGACACCATCTATTTGGAGATAGCATCAGATCCTACAGGTTGAGGGCTCAGGCCCCAAAACTGGCCACCCCCAACCCGCCACCTCAGACACAGATGAAAGTCCAGACCTCCAAACTTCTGACAGGCTGGCTTTAAGTTGGGGTTCCCACAACTTCCTCTTTGGGTTCGATCAGTTTGCAGGGGCAGCTCACAGAACTCAGGGAAACACAGTTATTGGTTATTACAAAGGATATTACAAAAGATATAAGGAAAAGGTCAAGGAGCTTGCCTGCCTTCTTCAGGACCACCACATTCCAGGAACCTCTAAGTGTTCAGCTCTCTGAAGGCTCTCTGAACCCTCTCCCTTTGGGCTTTTTATGGAGATTTCATTGCATAGGCATGATTGATTAAGCCACAGGCTATTGGCTATCAACTTAAATTTTAACTCCCTCCCCTCCCCAGAGGTTCTGAAGTAGGGCTGAAAGTCCCAACGCTCTAATCCCGGCCTTGGCTTTCTGGTGACCAACCCCCATCCTGAAGCTGGCCAGGGACTGCCAGCCATCAATCAATCATTAGCATGCAAAAAGACATACTTTGGAGACTCCAAGGATTTTAGGAATTCTATGGCAGAAAATGGAGATGAACACCAAATAGAAGGCCGGGCACAGTGGCTCACGCTTGTAATCCCAACACTTTGGGAGACCAAGGTGGGTGATCACCTGAGGTCAGGAGTTTGAGACCAGCCTGGCCAACTTAGTGAAACCCTGTCTCTACTAGAAACACAAAAAATTAGCCAGGCGTGGTGGCAGGCGCCTGTAATCCCAGCTACTCAGGAGGCTGAGGCAAGAGAATCACTTGAACCCAGGAGGCGGAGGTTGCAGTGAGCCGAGATGGCGCCACTGCATTCCAGCCTGGGCAACAAGAACGAAATTCCGTCTCAAAAAAAAAAAAAAAAGACCAAATATATATTTCACAATATCATAGATAATGAATGGCATTTTTAAAAAAAAGTTTGTCTATTAACTGCTTACCGTGTTCTTGCCATGTAGGTTCTGTATCAATGTATTCTTATATGGCTTCTATATTTTGAGTCATGTTTAGAAAAGCTTTCCCCACTCCTAGGTTATAAAGGAAGTCTGCAATGCTTTCTTCTAATTCCACTCTAGCTTCATTTCTCATTTATATATTGAATTCATTTACAGTTCATACTGGTAGAAGGTATCCTGTTTAAGTTTTTTCCTGGAAGATTATCTAATTGCTCCATCATTGTTTATTGAATAGTTCATTTTTTTCCTACTTATTGAAGCTATTATATATTAAAATTCCCATAGGTGTGGGGTCTATTTATGTAATTTTTATTCTGTTTAATTTTTTATTAGCCAAAACTTGGGTTTTAACTATTAAGACTTTATAATATGCTTTAATATCTAAAGGGCTAGTCATCCCTCATTGCTTTTTCTGAGTTTCCATGGCTATGTTTTAATTTTCTTTGTGAACTTCAGAGTCAGCTTGTCTAGTTCCAAAAGTATTTTTTAATTTTTAGTATTTTCATTAGGATCATATTAAATTTATTTAACTTAGGGAGAATTTGCAACTTTTCACTGTCAAATCTTCCTAAGAATATGGTACATGTTCCTACTTGTTTTATCTTAAAGATTATTTTAGGGTTTTCTTCATATATGTCTTTACATTTTTTGTTAAGTTTGTTTCAGGTTTACAGTATCTCCAGTTTTCAAAAATGTGTATCTCTGATTTCTTCCTTTTGCCTATTTGCACTGGCCACTACTTACAGTATAATGTTATGGGCAGTGTTGGTAGCGGGTATTCTTGTCTTATTTCTGATTTTAGAGGAGTTTTCCTAATAAGCATACAGGCTTTTGAACCAAAATAGACATATTTTTATGAAATTAAGGAAATATCCACCTTTCTTATTTTCTTGAGTGTATTTTTTTAAATCAATATTAGTTGTTTAATCTCCTGAATGATTGTTTTAACATTTTTTAATACAATCAAATTATTTTTCTCCTTGGATTAATTACAATGATTGATTACATTCATAGATTTACCAATGTTGAACAATCTTTATATTTCTCAAATCAAACCCATTTCCTTTTATGTGACATTGAATTACTTCCTGTTATTTTACTTACACCTTTTGCATTGATATTTACAAGTGGCATTGAACTAATAGTTTTATTTTGGGGGCAATCTTTGTCAGTATCAGTGTTACACTTAATTCATAAGAAGTTTTTGAAAGTTTTCTTTCATCTTCTATGCTCCAGAACAGTTAAAATAGCATTAGAATAATTTACTCTTGAAAAGCTTGGTAGAATTCCTCTATGACAGTCATCTGGCCCTGGAGCTTTTATGTTTGAGAAGATGGCAGTAGGAGCTCTTTAACAATAATTTCTATTATTTTATGAAAATCTATTGAGGTTAATATTGGCAAATTGTAGTTCCCTAGAAATTTCATCCATCAGACAGACAATATCTTCCAAAAAGGCTTCCCAGAAATGGCTGCCAATTTCAGCAGTCAGATAGCTGAACATTGGGTCTCATTA